>NC_000003.12:88494848-88797878 GCF_000001405.40 Homo sapiens | reverse complement strand
GGGCCTGGTGGAATTCACCATCCTGAAGGGAAAGATAGAGGCCTGGCTGGCTTTGAAACCTTCTGGTTGTAGAGCCACAAGGCTTTGATCAAACATAAACAGTAGCCAGAGAGTGATTACAGCATATCTTGGGTGAGACCCAGTGCTGTGCTAGCTTCGGATCTGAGCCAGTGCAGTCCTAGTTGCAGATGGCCTCTGGGGTCTTGTGTCACTCTATCCCCAGCTCCAGATGGGTCAGAACAAACAGAGAGACTCTGTTTGGGAGAAAATAAGGAAAGAGAACAAAAGTCTCTTTCTGGTAATCTAGAGAATTCTCTCAGATCTTGTTTAAGACCATCAAGACAGTACTTCTAGTCTGCATGAATCACAGTGTTACTGGCCTTGGCAGGCCATCAAAAGCAGAAAAAGTTTAGATCACAACACCCAAGTTCTTTTGAATATCTGAAAAGCCTTCTCAAAAAGGACAGGTGCAAATAAGACCAGACTGTGAAGAGTACAATAAATACACAACTCGTCAATACCCAAAAACAGACAAACATCCAAAAGTATCAAGATCATCCAGAAAACATGACCTTGCCACATGAACTAAATCAGGGACAAAGGGGCCATCCTGGAGAAACAGAGATAGTGACCTTTCCATCAGGTAATTCAAAATAGCTATGTTGAGGAAACTCAAAGAAATTCAAGAAAATACAGAGAAGGAATCCAAAACTATATCAGATAAATATAACAAAGAGATTAAAATAATTTAAAAAACTCAAGCAGAAATTCTGGAGCTGAAAATGCAACTGGCATATGGAAAAATGCATCAGAGTCTATGAATAGCAGAATTGTTGAGTGAGAAGAAGAAAGAATTAGTGAACTAGAAGATAGGCTATTTGAAAATACACAGTCAAAGGAGATAAAAGATAAAAGATTAAAAAAAACAATGAAGCACACCTACAGAATGTAGAAAATAGCCTAAAAAGGGCAACTTTAAGAGTATCTGGCCTTAAAGAAGAGGTAGAGAAAGAAATAATTCAAAGGCATATGATCAGAGAACATCTCAACTCAAAAGAAATATGTCAATATCTCAGTTCAAGAAGGTTATAGAACACTGATATAGTTTGGCTCTGTGTCCCCACCCAAATCTCCTCTCAAATTGTAATCCCCACCCTTCCGGGGAGGGACCTGTTTGGAGATGGTTAAATCATGGTTGCAGTTTCCCCCATGCTGTTCCTATGATAGTGAGGAGTTCTTATGAGATCTGATGGTTTAAAAGTGGCAGTTTCTCCTACACACACTCTCTCTCTCCTGCCACCTTGTGAAGAAGATACTTGCTTTTCCTTCACCTTCTGCCATAATTATAAGTTTTGTGAGGCCTTCTCAGCCATGCAGAACTGTGAGTCAATTGAACGTCTTTCCTTTATAAACTACTCAGTCTCAGGTTATATCTTTATAGCAGTATGAAAATAGATGAATAAAGAGAATTGGTGCCAGGAGTTGTGTACTGCTATAAAGATAATCTGAAAATGTGGAAGTGACTTTGGAACTGTGTAATGGGCAGAGGTTGGAACAGTTTAGAGGGCTCAAAAAAGACAGGAAGGTGTGGGAACATTTGAAACTTTCTAGAGACTTGTTGAATGATTTTGACCAAAATGCTGATAGTGATATGGACAATGAAATCTAGGCTCAGGTGGTCTCAGATGGAGATGAGGAACTTATTGGGAACTGGAGCAAATGTTACTCTTGCTATGTTTTAGCAAAGAGACTAGCAGCAATTTGCCCCTGCCCTACAGATCTGTGGAAGTTGGAACTTGAGAGAGATGATTTAGGGTATCTGGCAGAAGACATTTCTAATCAGCAAAGCATTAAAGGAAGAGGTGACCTTACTTTTCCTGAAAATGTACAGTTATATGCATTCACAATGAGATGGTTTGAAATTAGAATTTACGTTGAAAGGGGAAGCAGAGCATAAAAGTTTGGAAAATTTGCAGACTGACCATGTGGTAGAAGAGAAAAACCCATTTTCTAAGGAGAAATTCAAGTTGGCTGCAGTGATTTGCATAAGTAATGAGGAGCCCAATGTTAATCCCCAAGACAATGGGAAAAATATCTCTGGGCATTTTAGAGATCTTCAAGGAAGCTCCTCCCATCACAGGCCTGGAGGCCTGGGAGGAAAAAATGATTTCATGGGCCTTGCCTAGGGCTCCACTGCTCTGTACAATTTTGGGACTTGTGTCCTGCATCCCAGGCACTCCAGCATCAACTGTTGTTAAGGGGGACCATGTTGCTGCTTGGGCTGTTGCTTCAGAGGGTGCAAGCTCCAAGACTTAGTGGCTTAAACATGGTGTAGGGCCTGCAGTTATTCAGGAGACAAGAGTTGAGTTTTGGGAACCTTTGCCTAGATTTCAGAGCATGTAAGGAATTGCTGGATGTCCAGAAATAAGTCTGCTACAGGGGTGGAGCCTTCGTGGAGAGCCTCTACTAGGGCAATGCAGAGAGGAAATGTGGGGGTGAGATCACCACACAGAGTCTCCACTGGGGCACTGCCTAGTGGAGCTATAAGAAAAGGGTCACCAGACCCCAGAATGATAGGTCCACTGACGGCTTGCCCTATGCACCTGGAAAAGCTGCAGGCACTGAACACCAGTTTGTGAAAGCAGCAGTTGGGGCTGTACCCTGCACAGCCACAGGAGTGTAGCTGCCCAAGGCCTGGGAGCCTACCCCTTGCATTAGTGTGCCCTGAATGTAAGACATGGAGTCAAAGGAGATTATTTTGCAGTCTTAAGATTTAATGAGTGCCCTACTGCATTTCATACTTGCATGGGGCCTGTGGCCCCTTTGCTTTGGCCAATTTCTCCATTTGAAATGAAAATATTTACCCAATGCCTGTACCCCACTGTATCTTAGAAATAACTAACTTGTTTTTTATTTTACAGGCTCATAAGTGGAAGGCACTTGCCTTGTCTCAGATGATACTTTGGACTTGAAATTTTAAGTAAATGCTGGAATGAGTTAAGACCTTGGGGGACTATTGGGAGGTGTGATTTGTTTTGATATGCAAAAAAAAACAACCATGAGATTTGGGAGGGGCCAGGGGTAGAATAATATGGTTTGGCTCTGTGTTCCCACCCAAATCTCTTCTCAAATTGTAAATCCCACGAGTCAGGGAGGACCTGGTGGGAGGTAGCTGGATAATGGGGGAGTTTTCTCTCATCCTGTTCTTATGAAAGCAAGTAAGTTCTCACAAGATCTGATGGTTTAAAAGTGGCAGTTTCTCCTGCATGTGCTCTCTCCTGCTGCCTTGTTTCTTCTTCAACTTCTGCCATGATTGTAAGTTTCTTGAGGCTTTCCCAGCCATGTGGAACTGTGAATCAATTAAACCTCTTTTCTTTATAAATTAAGCAGTCTCAGGTTATATCTTTATAACAGTGTGATAACAGACTAACATGAACAGCAAACAATTTTTACCCAAAGAAGCCTAGTTGAAGGCACTTGATAATCAAACTCTTAAAGGTCAAGGCTAAAGAAAGGACCCTAAAAGCACCAAGAGAGATGAAACAAATAATGTAGAATGAATCTCCAATACATCTGTCAGCAAACGTTTCAGTGGAAACTTTACAGGCCAGGAGAGAGTAGCATGACAAATTTAAAGTGCTGAAGGAAAAACTTTTACCACAGAATAGTATGTCTAATGAAAATATTCTTCCAATATGAAGAGGAAACAGACTTTCCCAAATAAACAAAAGCTTAGCAATTTTATCAACACTAGTCCTTTCCTACAAGAAATACTGAAGGGAGTACTTCAATCAGAAAAAAATATATATTAATGTACAATAAAAAATCACTTGAAGATACAAAACTCATTGGTAATAGCAAGTACATGGAAAACCGTAGAATATTATAATACTGTAACTGTGGTGTGTAAACTACTCTTTCTTAATTAGAAAGACTAAATGATGAACCAATCAAAAATAACAGCTACAATTTTTCAAGACATAGATAGTACAAAATGTATAAACAATAAAAAGTTAAAAAGAGAAAAGGAAGTTAAGGTATAGAGTTTTTATTAGTTTTTTCAAATGTTTGTTTATTAAAATGTATCAAACTGTTATCAGCTTAAAATAATGGACTGTAAGATATTATTTGCATGCCTTATGGTAACTGCAAATCAAAAGTCATACAATGCATACACAAAAAATAAGAAGCAAAATATTAAGTCACATCACCAGAGAAAATTACCTTCACTAAAAAGAAAACAAGAAGAAAATAAAATAGGAAGAGAAGACCACAAACAACCAGAAAACAAATAAAAAAATGGCAGGTGTTAAGTCTTTACTTATCAATAATAACATTGACTGTAAATGGACTAAACACTCCAATCAAAATACATAGAGTGGCTAAAATAATTTAAAAAACTAGACTTAATAATCTGTTGCCTACAAGAAACAAACTTCACCTACAAAGACACACATGGACTGAAAATAAAGGAGATAAGTCCTGATATAATAATAGCTGGAGACTTCAACACCCCACTTTCAGCATTAGGCAGATTTTGTAGACAGAAAATCAATAAATGAACATTGGACTTCACATGCACTATATACCAAATGTCCCTAATAAGTCTTTACAAAACATTTATTTCATCCAATGGCTGCAGAATACACATTTTTTTCCTCAGTACATTAACTATTCTCAAGGAAACACTGTATATTAGGTCACAAAACAAGTCTTAAATTATTCAAAAAATTGAAATAATATGAACATCTTCTCTGACTCAATGGAATAAAACTAGAAAACGATAAGAAGATAAATTTTGGAAACTATATGAATACTTGGAAATTAAACAATATTCTCCTGAATGACTACTGAGTCAATTAGGAAATTAATAAGGACATTAAATATTATCTTCAATCAAATTAAAACGGGAATGCAATATAACAAAACATATGGGATTTAAGGTCCCTCTTTCAATAAGAAGAGGGACATTTAAAACTATAAGTGTCTATATTGAAAAGGAAGAAAAACTTCATACAAACAACCTAATGATACATTTTAATGTACTAGAAAAACAAGAGTAAACCTACCCAAAATTAGTAGTGTAAAAGAAATAATAAAGAGCAGAAATAAATTAAACTAAAATTAAAAATACAAAAGATTAATAAAACAAAAGTTGGTTTTTTGAAAAGTTAAACAAAACAGACAAATCTTTAGCCAGACTAAGAAAAAGAGAAAAGACCCAAATAAATAAAATCAAAGATGAAAAAGAGGCATTACAACTGATACCACCAAAATCCAAAAGGATTATTAATGGCTACTGCAAGCAATTATGCCAATAAATTGGAAAATCTAGAAGAAATAGACAATTTCCTAAATACACACCACCTCTCAATATTGTACCATGAAAAATTCAAAGCCTGAACACACCAATAACAAGTAATGAGATAGAAGCTGTAATGAAAACTCACCCAGCAAAGAAAAGCCTAGAACCTGATGGTTTCACTGCTGAATTGTACCAAACATTTAAAGAAAAACTAATACCAATCCTACTCAAACTATTACAAAAAACAGAGGAGTATGGAATACTTCTAAACTCATTTTATGTGGCCGGTATTATCTTGATACCAAAATCAGACAAAGACACATCAAAAAAAGTAAACTACAGGCCATATCACTAATGCATGTTAATGCAAAAATCCCAACTATACTAGAAATTCTCATTCAACAACACATTGAAAAGATCCATCATCATGAACAAGTGGTATTTATCTCAGGGATACAAGGATGGCTCAACATACTCAAATCAATCAGTGTGATACATCATATCAACAGAATGAAGGATAAAAAACAAATAATCATTTCAATTGATGATGAAAAATTATTTGATAAAATTCAACATGCCTTCATGGTAACAGCCCTGGAAAAAATAGGTATAGAAAGAACAAACTTCAACCATAATAAAAGCCATGTATTATAGACCCATAGCTAATTCGTACTCAATGGGGAAAATCGAAAGCCTTTCCTCTAGAATAAGGAACATGAGAAAGATGCCCACTTTCATCCCTTTTATTCAACATAGTATTGGAAGTCCTGGCTACAACAATCAAACAAGAGAAAGTAAGAAGGAGCATCCAAGTTGGAAAGGAAGCAGTAAAATTATCTTTGTTTGTAAATAATATGATCTTATACTTGGAAAAACCTAAAGACTTCACCAAAAAAAAACTATTAAATATAATAAATTCAGTAAATTTGAAGGATGCAAAATCAACATACCAAAAATAGAATTTGTGTATGTGAACAGCAAACAATTTGAAACAGATATCAATAATATAATCCAATTTACAATAGCTACAAATAAAGTACCTATGAATTAACTGAAGTGAAAAATCTCTGCAATTAAAATTGTAAAGCACTGATGAAAGAAATTGAAGAGGACACCAAAAAATGGAAAGATATTCCATGAATTTGAAGAATCAATATTGTTTAAATGTCATACCACTCAAAGCAATCTAGAGATTTAATGCAATCCTTATCAATGTACCACTGACATTCTTCACAGAAATAGAAAAAAATGTTAAAATTTATTTGGAATTACAAAATGCCCATAATAGTCAAATCTTTCCTAAGCAAAATAACAAAACTGGAGAAATCACATTAATTGACTTCAAATTATACTTCTGAGCTATAGTAACCAAAATGGCATAGTACTGGCATAAAAACAGACACATAGACCACTGGAACAGAATGGAGAAATCTGAATAAATCTAAACATCTACAGTGAACTCATTTTCAGCAAATGTTCCAAGAAAATACATTGAGTAAAGGACTGTCTCTTCAATAAATGGTGATGGGAAAACTGGATATCCATATGAAGCACAAAACTAGACCCTTATCTCTCGCCATTTACAAAAATCAAATTAAAAAATGGATTAAAGTCTTAAAGACCCTAAACTATGAAAAAACTAAAAGAAAACATTGAAGAACCACACCAGAACATGGGAGTAAGCAAAGACTTCTTAAGCAATACCCTCCAAGCACAGGCAACCAAAGCAAAAATGCACAAATGGGTTCATATCAAGTTAAAATGCTTCTACACATCAAAGAATACAATAAACAAAGCAAAGAGTCAACCCATAAAATGCAAAAAAAAAAGATTTACAAACTAGACACCTGACAAGGGATTAATAACCAGGACATGTAAGGAGCTCAAACAGTTCAACAGGAAAAAAAATCTAATAATCTCATTTTAAAATGCATGAAAGTTGTGAATAGACATTTCTCAAAAAAAAAGACATACAAATTGCAAACAAGTATATGATAAGGTGCTCAACAACACTGATCATCAGAGAAATGCAAATCAAAATTACAATAAGATATCACCTCACCCCAGTTAAAATGGCTTTCAACTAAAAGGCAGCAAATAGCAAATGCTGGATAGGATGTGGAGAAAAGGGAATGTTCATAAACTGTTGGTGGGGATGTAAATTGGTACAACCACTATGGAGAACAGTTTGGAGGTTCCTCACAAAACTAAAAATAGAGCTACCGTATGATCCAGCAATCCCACTCCTAGCTATTCATGCAAAAGTAAGGAAATTAGTCTATCAAAGACATATCTGCACTCTCATATTTATTGCAGTACTATTCAAAATAGCCAATATTTGGAAACAACTTAGGTGTCCATCAACGGATGAATGGATGGCCAGGCACAGTGGCTCATGCCTGTAATCCCTGCCCTTTGGGGGGCCGAAGTGAACAGATTGCTTGAGCCTGGGAGATTGAGTCTGCAGTGAGCCATGATCATGCCACTGCACTCCAGCCTGGGTGACAGAGCGAGACCCTGATTCAAAAAAACCAAAACAAACAACAACAGCAAAATAACACTGATGAATGGATAAAGTAAATGTGGTACATATACACAATGGAAAACTCTTCAGTCATAAAAAGGAATGAGATCCTCACATTTGCAACAGCATAGATGAAACTAGTGGTTAATTTATTAAATAAAATAAATCAGGCACAGACAGACAAACACTGCATGTTCTTAGTTATCTGTGGGAGCTAGAAATTGAAACAATTGAACTCATGGAGGGAGAGAGTAGAAAGATGGTTACAATAGGCTGGGAAGGATAGTGAGGGTGAGGAGCAGAGGGACACAGGGGATGGTTAATGGGTACAAGAAAATAGGTAAAAAGAATAAATAAGACCGAGTATTTGCTAGCACAACAGGCTGACTATAGTCAAAAATAATTTAATTCTACATTTTAATATAACTAAAAGAGTATAATTGGATTGATTTAAACACAAAAGAGAAATGTTTGCGGTGGCGGTTATCCTATTTACCCTGATGTGATATTATGCATTGTATGCTTATATCAACTTATCTCATGTAAGTCATAAATACATACACCTCCTATGTACCCACAAAAATTAAAAATAGGCCGGGAGCGGTGGCTCACGCCTGTAATCCCAGCACTTTGGGAGGCTGAGGCGGGCGGATCACGAGGTCAGGAGATCGAGACCATCCTGGCTAACACGGTGAAACCCTGTCTCTACTAAAAATACAAAAAATTAGCCAGGCGCGGTGGCAGGCGCCTGTAGTCCCAGCTACTCGGGAGGCTGAGGCAGGAGAATGGCGTGAACCCGGGAGGCAGAGCTTGCAGTGAGCCGAGATAGCGCCACTGCAGTCCCGCCTGGGCGGAAGAGCAAGACTCCGCGGTAAGTGCTGCTTAAAAGGAAGACCATTTACCTTCCTTATACAGGAAGAACAGTGTGTGCCTTTTTATTTTATGTAAATGAAATAGCTAGGTTGGTCTGTAGGGTTTCCTCCCCAGATATATAAAACAATTTTCCAAAAGCAGCAGTTAGGGGACAAATGTGTGTAAATTAATTCCGTTCAATTTAGTTATCCTTGATTTCGTTTCCCACCCTGTTGATCTATTCTATCAGAGAGATACTAGTTGTTCACTCATATCAATAGCTGAATTTTAGAGTGGTCCATAGTTATACTATTTCTTTCAAATTTTTAGGAAAGAAATGTGTATCATTTGCTTCTCTCAGGTAAACGATAATATTTTATTACTGTAGCTTTAGAATATTCATCTGAAAGTAAAAGAAAAATGCCAAAGTTCCATAAGTATATTATTTCTTAATATACCAGTAAAGTCATTTCTAATGACTTTCTCCTACATTCGGGGATTGTATACGCAGTCCATGCCCATTTAGGTGTACTTAGCAGGAAGTTACCTGCAATCGGGTAAGCAAATGCTTCTTAAGTAAATACACAATTCGAATCTGTATTTTCCTTTTCATAGAAAGCACTGAGCAATTAATTTAGACCTAAATATGCAATATCTTCATTGCTAATTTTAATCTTCCTTGAGCTAATTTGGAAAATAGACCATATTTACTTACCTCTCAGAAATAATTGTTGAATGCATTCCAAGAGTTTTAAATCATCCCATTATGTATATTTCTATTTGCTTATTTCATTTTGAGCCAATGAAAGGCAAAATCTTATATAAGTTGAACTAATTATTTTAAGAGGACATTTAAAAAGATGTTTCTCTGCATTTCGTCAAGTGTCTTGCACATAATGTAATAACGGACTTCTGCTGATGACTTTGATTATTATAATCATGTTTAATGGTGAAGTATTTCTAAAACATTCCTGCAAAATAATTGGCTTTAAAAAGTTTTAGGTAAAAATAAGTTTTAAAAGTTTTAAAAGATTATCCTACAAGTAAGCTACCATGTGATACCTACTGATTCAAGAGTGAGAATTAATTTTATTTCCTAAAACTTGATAGGTCCTTCCTAAACCTATGAAGGATTTTTCCTGTCATGAAAAATATATTTGTCAATTCCTTTGCCTTCTCCAGTTGATATTTCATGTTTCCATCATGTAATATTTAAAGTTAACATGGCATTCAATACAAATTGAATGCCAGTTTTTCAGTAGTACCTACATCTTTTAAAACATTTTATTGATATGTAATTGATATATTGAAAACAGCACAAATTTAGCACACACAGTTTAATGAGTTTGGACATATGCATACGCCCATGAAACCATCATGACAGCCCAGATAACAGACCTATCTACTGCCTCCCAAAGTTTTATTGTATCTTTCTGTTTTTGGTGTGTGTGTGTGTGTGTGTGTGTGTGTGTGTGTTTGTGTGTGTGTGTAGAATACTTAATATGAAATCTACTCTCTTAAACATTTTAGGGGTATAATACAGGGGGTATAAGTTCTTCAGCTTTGAGACTCCTGGACCTTCGACCAAAGATTGAAGGCTGCACTGTCGGCTTCCCTACTTTTGAGGTTTTGGGACTCGGACTGGCTTCCTTGCTTCTCAGCTTGCAGATGGCCTGTTGTGGGACTTCACCTTGTGATCATATGAGTCAATACTCCTTAATAAACTCCCCTTTATATATACATTTATCCCATTACTTCTGTCCCTCTAGAGACCCCTGACTAATATACTTTCCAACAAGGTAGACAGGTTCTGATTTCTCCACATTCTCACCAACACTCATCTTTTAATTTTTTGATAGTAGACATACTAACTGGTATGGAGTGATATTTTATTACGGTTTTAATTTATATTTACGTGATAATCAGTGATGTTAACCATCTTTTCATGTACCTGTTTGCCACACGTATGTTTTCTTAGAAGAAATATCTATTCATGTCTCATATGGTTTTGCTGTGTCCCCACCCAAATCTCATCTTGAATTGTAGCTCCCATAATCCCCACATGTCTTGGGAGGGACCCAGTGGGAGGTAACTGAATCATGACGGCAGTTTTTTCTCATGCTGTTCTCATGATAGAGAATAAATCTCACGAAATTTGATGGTTTTATAAAGGGCAGTTCTCCTGCACATACTCTTTTGCCTGCCTCCATGATATGCCTTTGCTCATCCTTCACTTTCTGCCATAATTGTGAGGCCTCCCCAGTCATGTGGTACTGTGAGTCCATTAAACCCCTTTTTCTTTATAAATTACTCAGTCTCAAGTATGTCTTTCTTAGCAGTGTGAGAACAGACTAATACAAGGTCCTTTCACCATTTTTATTCAGTTTTTTTTTTTTTTTTTTTTTGCTATTGAGTCGTAAGGGCTTCCAATAGAGAGCTCAGAAATAAATCCATGCGTACATGATCAACCGATCTGTAACAAGGTAGTCAAGGTACCCAAGGTTCCCAACAAGTGTTGGGAAGAGACACGATGTAGAACAGACAGTCTCTTCAATGAATAGTATTGGAAAAACTGGATATCAAAGTACAAAAGAATGAAATTATACCCCCATCTTACAGTATACACAAAAATAAATTCGAAATGGATTAAAGACCTAAACCTAAGACCTAAAACTAAAGCTAAATCTCCTAGAAATAAAACATAAGGGAAAATATTATTGACTTTAATTTTGGCAATGATTTCTTGGATATGACACCAAAGGCACAAGCAACAAAATCAAAATTAGACAAGTAGGACTACATCAAAATAAAAGCTCTGAACAGCAAAGAAAACAATCAATAGAATGAAAAGGCAATCTACGGAGTGGGAGAAAATGTTTCCAAACCATATAGCTAAAAGAAATTAATATTCAAAATATATAAGGAACCGAAACCTATATCTTTGCAGTGTTTTCTTACTCTTGCTTTTTAAAACAACCATACTAAAAAATATGAAAACAACCACAGACCCTAGGGATATAAGCAATAAAACAATTAACTTTCTCATTAACAAGTTTCACTAGAGTTGTTAGTTAAAAACAACAGTAATAACAAATACTTATTCCTGAAATATTAAATCATACTCTGATGCCTGTCACTTCAAGTTATAACCTGTCCCAAATTCACAGACTCTCAGACATGCCCTGCACCTTGAAAATAAAAATCACCTTAAGAAAGCATATTAGATTTCAGATGTTTAAGCAACCAGAGAAGAACCCCCAAATTCACAAATAATAGCTAATATTCTTTAGATACTTTCCTAATTCCCTAATCAAATTACAATAGAGTCTCTAAGTTTAAAAAACTGGTATAGGAGTAAACACTTGTTTCTAATCCTTACCTTAAATACATCTTAGTATAGTTACTAGGTTTTAAAAGGAGTATTAAGTAGAGAGAAGAGAAGTCCAGGTGTTGGCTATTCAGTGGATGGGGAGAATAAGGGTAGGAGTAATTAGAAGAAAAAACATTAAATCTAAGATCAATTTGATGAGAAATAGATGACACAATTGCAGGAAAAATCTAGAGGGTATAAGAGGCAGCAAAAGATATGCAAATCATCACATATGGTTACCAGTTGAAAGATTAAAAACCAGTTATGCAAAAGGATCTAGAAAAAAATTCAAGTTCCTTACTAAAATTACTTGAAATTCAGAGAGCAGGTAGTGTTCAAATTTTATATTGATTCATTTCTATGAAACAATATTTAGAATATAAATGAATAGAGTTGCTACGTTATAAAGATCTCACAGTCTAACAGATATCTAGTACCTGTGTGTATTTCTTGAAAATTCAACTAAAGGGTTTAGTTCTACCACTTCCTGTGGTGACAGATCAGATAATTAGAAACAACCACTTTGCTGAAGACAGATAGAAGACTTGACTATTTAAAAAAAGGGTATGTAAAGGGGACAAGACTTTTTATTAAATTAATAAAATTTATTTTTACAGCAGTTTTAGGTTCACAGTAAAATTGAGCAGAAAGTACAGTTTCCACATACCTGTGTCCTTATACATGCACAACCTCCTCATGACTAATCTCCCATGCCACAGCAGTACATTTGTTACAAACTGTAAACCTACATTGATACATCTTTATCACCCAAAGTCCACAGTTTACATTGGGGTTAAATCCTAGTGTTGTACATTCTGTGGGTTTGGACAGGTATTTAATGATATGTATCCACCATTGTAGTATCATAAAAAATAGTTCCACTGCCCTAAAAATCCTCTATGTCCTATTTATTAATCCCTCTTTCCCTCCCTTCAAATCCTGGGAACCACTGATCTTTATACTGTTTTCATAATTTTGCCTTTTCCAGAATGTCATGTTGTTGAAATCATACAGTATGTAGCCTTTTCAGATTGGCTTCTCTAGTAATATACATTTATGCATTTAAGGTTGTCCATGTCTCTTAATGGCTCGACAGCTTTTTTATTTTTATTTTTTTATTTTTTGGAACCTAATACTATTCCATTGTCTGGATATACCACAGTTTATTTATCCATTTACTTACTGAAAGACATGTTAATTGCTTCCAGGTTTTAGCTTTTATGAACAAAGCTTCGTAACATTTGTGTGTAAGTTTCCGTGTGGACGTTAAATTTTCACTTTTGGGGGGTAAATACAAAGGAGCATAATTGCAATGGCTGGATCATATGTAAGACTATGTTTACTTTTGTAAGAAACTGCCAAACTGTCTTCCAAAGTGGCTCTAACATTTTGCATTCTCACCAGCAATAAATGGGAGTTCCTGTTGCTCCACAACCTGGCCAGCATTTGGTATTGTCAGTGTTTGGAATTTTTGCCATTCTAATAGAAATGTAGTGGTATCTTGTTGTTTTAATTTGCCATTCTCTAATGAAATATGGCATTTAACATATTTTCATATGCGTATTTGTCATATACATATGTTCTTTGGTTAGGTGTCTATTCAGGCCTTTTGCCCATTCTTTAATTAGATTGTTTCTTTTCTTATTATGGAGTTTAAACTTGTCACTTAAAAAATGTGCTTGAAGGTATTGGAGAAATAAAAGGCAGGGAGAAATAACAGAAATAATCTTTAAGTGAACACAAAAAATCAATGATGTGAACCTAGAATTTGGGGCTAAATTTCCCACTAAAATGTCTTTCAACTCCAGAAAAAGTGTTTGAGAGCTTGGTGAATTCAGAGTTCACAAAAAAAAGAGAAGTATAAACATTCTTATTTTGGGATGACAGTGCAAAAGACTATACTCTTAAAGTAAACTAAAGAGGAAAGCTCCTTCTAGGAATGTTTCTCAGCTTCAAGGCATTCTTTTAGAACTGCAAGTCTTTTTGATTATTTATTTTTATTTTGGATCTCATTACTTCTTCATTCAAAAATGACCACAAAAAATACCAAATGCAAATTGAATGCAGAAAATGGAGTTATCAGACACAGTCTTTAGCTAGTCCTGACATTTTCAAGAAGATGAATGAAACTGGTAATTTGAACTAAAAATTTTAAATTGTAAAAAATGAAACAAATAGAAAACATAGAACCATGAAATATAATAAACAGCACAGAAAATCTAATAGATGGACTTTGCATTAGATTTAGCAAAGCTGAGGAAACAATTAGTAATAACTGAAATACGCCTGGGAAGAAAATGAAGAATGAAACAAACAGAAATTAAAGGGAAAATTTTAAAAGAAAGTAAGACAGAAAATAGAGTAAAAAAGTCTATATAAAATAGGAATTCCTAAGAAAAAGAAATATTGACATTTTTGAAGAAATTGAATGGTTATGTAGTTTCCAGATTAATGAAAGATACTAAGTCACAGACTTAAGATGTCTATCAAACACCAAGCAGGATAAACAAAATAAAGCAACATCCCAGAATATCATAGTAAATTTTCCAGCTTGCTAAGAAAAAAAAACTGTATGCACCTAATAGCATAATCTCAAAATAGGTGAAGAAAAATAATGGAACTAAAACTAGAAAAAAATCTACAATTATGGTAAGAAATTTTTGCATACTTCTCTCAATTACTTCTAGAACAAAGAGGTTAAAGAAGAACAATGACATAATTTGCTTATATGACTGGCACTCATGTCAGCAAATGAAGGGACCAGCTTAGGCAAATGCTTGATTACTACCAAAGAGTAATTAAAGCTTCACATGGCTCGTCAAGAATTGTGTGTATATATGTATAATTTACATGGCCACCATACATGGGTTTCTCTTTCTGCACATTTTTGCCAGCATTAATTACTGCCTGTCTTTTGGATAAAAGCTATTTTAACTGGGATGAGATAACATTGTATTGTAGTTTTGATTTTCATTTTTCTGATGATCAGTGATGTTAAGCACCTGTTTTATATACCTGTTTGTCATTCATATGTTTTCTTTTGAGAAAAATCTATTCAGATCTTTCAGTCATTTAAAAATCAGATTATTAGGATTTTTTCTTTATTGAGTTGTTTGAGCTCCTTATTTATTCTGGTTATTAATACCCTGTCAGGTTGATAATTTGCAAATATTTTCTCCCATTGTGTGGGTTGTCTCCTCACTTTGTTAATAATACCCTTTTATGTGCAGAAACTTTTTAACTTAATGTGATCCCATTTGTCCATTTTTGCTTTGGTTACCTATAGTTTTGAGGTTTTCTCAAGCAATCTTTGCCCAGACCAATGTCCTGGAGAGTTTCTCCAATGTTTTCTTGTAGTAGTTTCATAGTTTGAGGTCTTAGATTTAAGTCTTTAATTCATTTTGATTTAATTTTTGTATATGGTGAGGGATAGGGGTCTTGTTTCATTCTCCATATGGATATCCAGTTTTTCCAACACCATTTATTGAAGAGACTTTCCTTTCCCCAATTGTATTTACTATGCACCTTTTTAAAAATGGGTTCACTGTATATATTTGGACTCATTTCTGGATGCCCTATTGTGTTCCATTGGTCTGTATATCTGTTTTTATGTCAGCACCATGGTGTTTTGGTTACTATAGCTCTGTAGTATTATTTAAAGTTAGGTAATGTAATTCCTCCAGTTTTGTCCATTTTGCTAAGGATGGTTTGGCTATTTTGGGTCTCTTTTGGTTTCATATAAATTTTAGAATTATTTGTTCTATTTCTGTGAAGAATGCCATTGGTATTTTGACAGGGATTTCATTGAATCTGTAGATTGCTTTGGGTAATATAGACATTTTCACAATATTGATTTTTACAATCTCTGAGCATGGAATATATTTTATGAACATGGAATATATTTCATTATTTGTCTCATTCAATTTCTTGCATCAATATTTTATACTTTTCGTTGTAGAGGTCTTTCACTTCCTTGGCTAAGTTACTAGGTATTCTATTTCATGTGTAAATATTGAATGACATGGTTAGGCTTTGTGTCTCCATCCAAATCTCCTTTGAATTGTAATCCCCATAATTCCACATGGTCAGGGAGAGACCTGGTGGGAGGTGATTGGATCATGGGGGCAGTGTCCCCCATGCTGTTCTCATGACAGTCAGTAAGTTGTCATGAGATCTGATGGTGTTATAAGTGTCTGACAGTTCCTCTTTCACACACTCACTCTCTCTCACCTGCCGCCCTGTAAGATGTGCCTCTTCCCCTTCTGACATGATTGTAAGTTTCCTGAGACTCCCCAGCCAAGCAGAACTGTGTCAATTAAACCTCTTTTCTTTATAAGTTATGCAGTCTAGGGCAGTTCTTCATAGCAGTGTGAGAACAAACTAATACAGTTAATTGGTATCCAGGTAGTGGGGTACTATTATAAAGATACAGAATTTGTGGAAGCAACTTTGGATATGGGCAATGAGCAGAGGTTGGAACAGTTTAGAGTGCTCAAAAGAAGACAGGAAGATGTGGGAAAGTTTGGAATGTTCTAGAGACTTGAATGGTTTTGATGAAAATGTTGATAATGATATGAACAATGAAGTCCAGGCTGAGGTGGTGTCAGATGGAGATGAGGAACTTCTTGGGAACTGGAGGAAAGGTCACCTCGCTATGCTTTAGCAAAGAGACTGACAACATTTTGCGCCTGCCCTAGAGATCTGAGGAACGTTGAACTTGAGAGAGATGGCATGAAATTTGAACTTACTTTTAAAAGGGAAGCAGAGAATAAAAGTTTGGAAAATTTGCAGCCTGACAAATGCGATAGAAAAAAAAACTTTTTCTGGGGACGAATTATGCAGAAATTTGCATAAGTAATGAGGTGCTGAATGTTAATTGCCAAAGCAATGGGGAAAATGTCTCCAGGGCATGTCAGAGTTCTTCATGGCAGCCCCTCCCATCAAAGGCCCGGAGACCTAGGAGGAAAAAAATAGTTTCATGGGCCAGGCCCAGGGCCTTGCTGCTTTGTACAGTCTTGAGACTTGGTGCCCTGCATCCCAGCTATGGCTAAAAGTGGCCAACATACAACTCAGGCCATTGCTTCAGAAGGTACAAGCCCCAAGCCTTGGCAGCTTCCACATGGTGTTGAGCCTGTGGGTGGACAGCAGTAAAGAATTGAGGTTTGGGAACCTCTGCCTAGATTTGAGAGAATTTATGGAAACTACTAAATGTCTTGGCAGAAGTTTCCTGCAGTAGTGGCGCCCTCATGGAGAATCCCTGCTAGGGCAGTGCAGAAGAAAAATGTGGGGTTGGATGCCCCACACAGAGTCCCCACTTGGGCACTGCCTAGTGGAGCTGTGAGAAGAGGGCCACCATCCTCCAGACCCCAGAGTGGTAGATCCACTGACAGCTTGCACTGTGCACTCGGAAAGGCTGCAGACACTCAAAACCAGCCTGTGAAAGGAGCCTGGAAGGGGGCTGTATCCTGCAAAGCCACAGGGGCAGAGCTTTCCAGGACTGTGGGAGCCCACCTCTTGCATTAGTGTGCCCCAGATGTGAGACATGGAGTCAAAGGAGATTATTTTGGAGCTTTAAGATTTAATGATTGCCCTGCTGGGTTTCTGCCTTGCATAGGGTGTGTAGCCCCCCTGTTTTAGCCAATTTCTTCTATTTGGAATGGGAGCATTTATCCAATGCCTGTGCCCCCATTGTATCTTGGAAGTAACTAACTTGCTTTTGATTTTACAGGCTCCTAGGTAAAAGGAACTTGCCTTCTCTCAAATGACACTTTGGACTTGGTCTTCTGAGTTAATGCTAAAATGAGTTAAGGCTTTAGGGGACTGTTGGGAAGGTGTGATTGGTTTTGAAATGTGAGGACATGAGATTTGGGAGGTGCCAGGGACAGAATGATATGGTAGGCTTTGTGTCCCCATCTAAATCTCATCTTGAATTGTAATCCCCATAATCCTCATGTGGCCAAGGAGAGACCTGGTAGGTAGAAGGTATTGGATAATGGGGGCAGTGTCCAGCATGCTGTTCTCATGACAGTGAGTGAGTTCTTACGAGATCTGATAGTTTTATAAGTGTCTGACAATTCCTCCTTCACACAGTCACTCTCTCTCTCCTGCTGCCATGTAAGACATGCCTCTTCCACTTCTGCCATGATTTTAAGTATCCTGAGGCCTCCTGAGTCAAGCAGAAGTATGAGTCAGTTAAACCTCTTTTCTTTATAAATTACCCAGTCTCTGGCAGTTCTCTATTGCAATGTGAGAATGGACTAAGATATTGGAAAAGAAACTACTTTCTTGGTTTCTTTTTGAGACTGTTTGCTGTTTGCCTATAGATATGCTACTGATTTTTGCACATTGATTTTGTATCCTGCAACTTTACTAAATTTGTTTATCAGTTCTAATAGTGTTTTGGGGGGATGCAGTCTTTAGGTTTTTCTAAATATAAGAACAGATTGACCGGGCTCAGTGGCTCATGCCTGTAATCCCAGCACTTTGGGAAGCCCAGGAGTGTGGATCACGAGGTCAAGAGATCAAGACCATCCTGGCCTACATGATGAAATCCTGTCTCCACTAAAAATACAAAAATTAGCCAGGCTTGGTGGTGGGCGCCTGTAATCCCAGCTACTTGGGAGGCTAAGGTAGGAGAATCACTTGAACCTGGGAGGCAGAGGTGGCAGTGAGCCGAGATCATGCCATTGCACTTCAGCCTGGACTACAGAGCGAGACTCCATCTCAAAAACAAAAAAAAAAAAAAAAAAGGAAAAAAAAGAAAAAAGAAAAGATCATTTGCAAACAAGCATAACTTGAAGTCTTCTGTTCCAATTTGGCTGGTTTTTATTTC
Source organism: Homo sapiens (assembly GCF_000001405.40). Classification (NCBI taxonomy): domain Eukaryota; kingdom Metazoa; phylum Chordata; class Mammalia; order Primates; family Hominidae; genus Homo; species Homo sapiens. Next base: position 88,778,995 of record NC_000003.12, on the reverse strand, counting down.
TTTCCCTTTTCTAGTTACTATAGCTAGGACTTCCAGAATAAACAGTGATGAAAGTGGGGCATCCCTGGGTTGTTTCAGATCTTAGAGGAAAGAATTTCAGTCATTCTCCATTCAGTATGATACTAGCCATGGGTCTGTAATATATAGCTCTTATTATGCTCAGGTGTAATATATTATACCTGAGGTATAATATAATATGTTCCTTGTGTATCTTGATTTTTTAAGGTTTTATATCATGAGATGGAGATGAGGAGTTTCTTGGAAACTAGAGTGAGAAGCATTTATTAAATGATTTTTCAGCATCTATTCAAATAATTATACAGGTTTTTTTGTCCTTCATTCTGTTGATATGATGTATCACATTGATTGATTTGCATTTGTTGAACCATCTTTGTATTCCCGAGATAAATTCCACTTGATCTGATGAATGATCATTTTAATGTGTTGTTGAATTCAGTATGTTAGTATTTTGTTGATGATTTTTTTGCATCAAAATTCATCAGCAATATTGGCTTGTTTTTTGTGATTGTTGTGTCTGTCTGGTTTGGTATCACAATAATACTGGCCTCATGGAAGCAGTTGGAAATATTCCCTCTTCCTCAATTTTTTGGAATAGTTTGAGTAGGTTTGGTACTAGTCTTCTTTAAAGGTTTGCTAAAATTCAGCAGTGAAGGCTTTGGGTCTTAGGCTTTGCTAATCTCGTTGCTTATTATTGATCTATTCAGCTCTCAGATTTCTTCATGACTCAATGTTGGTAAGTTGTTTGTGTCTACGAATTCATCCATTTCTTCTTGGTTTTCCTATTTACTGGCATATAGTTGCTCATAGTAGTCACTACTGGTCCTTTGAACTTCAGCATATCAGTTGTAATGTCTCCTTTTTTTAATCTGTGATTGTATTTTTTGGGGTCTTCTTTTCTTAGTCTGGCTAAAGGTTTTTCAATTGTATCTTTTTAAAAACCAACTTTTTACTTTATTGATATTTTGTATTGATTCTTTTGTTTCAGTTTTATTTATTTCGGCTCTGATCATTATTATTTCTTTTTCTATCAGTTTTGGGTTTGGTTTGCTCTTGCTTTTCTAGTTAATTAAGATATATCATGAAGTTGTTTATTTGATTTTTTTTAAATTTTTGATGTAGGTGCTTATTGCTATAAACTTTAATCTTAGTATTGCTTTTGCTGCATTTCTTAAGTTTTAGAACATACTATTTTCATATTTATTTGTTTCAAGAAATTATTTAATTTGCTTCTCAATTTCTTCATTGACTCACTTGTCACTTAGGAGCATATTGTTTAATTTTCATGTTTTTGTGTAGTTTCCACAGTTTCTCTTGTTACTGATTTCTAGTTATATTTCATTGTAGTTAGAGTAGGTACTAGATATGATTTTGATTTTTTTGAACTTTTTAAGACTTTTTTTGTGGTCTAACATATGGTCTGTCTTAATAATAATCCATATGCTGAGAAGAATGTGTATTCTGCAGTTGTTGAATAAAATGTTTTATAAATATCTATTAGCTACATTTGGTCTATAGTGCAGGTGAAGTCCAATGTTCCTTTTTTGTCTGGATGATCTGTCTGATGCTGGAATGAGGGTGCTGAGGTCTCCAGCTATCATTTTGTTGGGTCTAATAATATATGCTTTACATATCTGAATGCTCCAGTACTGGGTGCATTTATATTTATAATTGTTATATCCCATTGCTAAATTGACCTCTTTATCATTATGCAATGAATTTTTTGTCTCTTTTTACAGCTTTTGTCTTGGAATCTGTTTTACCTGATACATGTATAACTACTCCTGTTCTTTTTTTTTGTTTGCCTCTATTTGCATGGGATGCCATCTTTTGTCCCTTAATTTTCAATCTGTGTGTCTTTTTAGGTGAACTGTGTTTTTTGTAGGCAGAAGATAGTTAGGTCTTGTTTTTAATTCATTCAGCCACATTATCTTTTTTATTTGGAGAGTTTAGTCCATTTCTATTCAATATTCCTATTGAAAGGGCTTACTACTTCCATTTTATTATTTGTCTTCTAGTTGTTTTGTGGTCTTCCTTCCTTCCATTTTGTAAAAGTAATTTTCTCTGGTGCTATGTTTTAATCTTTTTAATTTTTTGTGTATTTGTTGTAGGCTTTTTTTATTTGAGGTTTCCATGGGGCTTGAATATAACATCTTATTTTAAACTAGTAACAACTTAACACTATTCCAAAAACACACAAATAAACAAGCAAAGACAAAATTAATATAAAATCTACACTTTAAATCCATTGTCCCCTCACTTTTTAACTTTTAGTTGTTTCTATGTATATATTTTATACTATCAAAAAGTTGTAGTTATTTTTGATAGGTTTGTCTTTTAGTCTTCCTACTCAAGACATGAGTGGTTTACATACCACAATTGCCGTGTTAGAGTGTTCTGTTTTTGTATGTGTATTTACTGTTACCAGTGAGTTTAGTACTTACAGATGGTTTTTTGTTGCCTGTTAAAGTCCTCTCTTTCAGATTGAAGAAGTCTCTTTAGTATTTCTTGTAAGACACATCTGGTATTGCCGAAATCCCTCAGCTTTTGTTTGTCTGCAAAAGTTTTTATTTCTTCTTCATGTTTGAAGAATATTTCTGCTGTATATACTATTCTAGAATAAAATAATTTTTTCTTCAACACCTTGAATATGTCATGTCACTCTCTCCCAGCCTATAAATTTTCTAATGAGAAGTCAGCTACCAAATGTATTGGAGCTTCTTTATATATTACCTGTTTCTCTTTTCTTCCCGCTTTTAGAATCATTTCTTTATTCTTACCCTTTTGGAATTTGATTATTAAACGTCTTGAGGTAGTCTTATTTGAGTTAAATCTGTTTTGGCGTTCCATAACCTTCTCGTGCTTGAATACTGATGTCTTTCTCTGGGTTTGGAAGGTTTTCTGTTATGACCTCTTTGAAGAAATTTTCACCCCAGTCTTTTTGTCTCCTCCCTAAGACCAGTATCTCTTAGATTTATCTTTTTAAGACTGTTTTCTGGATTTGCAGACATACTTCATTCTTTTTCATTGTTTTTTATTTTTTCCTTAGTAATTGTGAATTTTCAAATACCATTTTTTCAAGCTCACCTATTCTTTCTTCTGCATGATCAATTACACGGTTGACTCGTGAATTTCTAAATTTGTCAATTAAATTTTTTAGCTCCCAGATTTCTGCTTCATTTTTTAAAAAATTATTTCAGCCTTTTTTAAAATTTTATCTGATAGGATTCTGAATTCCTTCTCTGTGTTATCTTGAAGTTTGCTGAGCTTCCTCAAAACAGGTATATTGAATTTTCTGTCTGAAAAGTCTCATATCTCTGTCACTCCAGGATTAGGCACTGGTGCCTTTTTTAGTTTATACAGGTGATATTTTCCTGAATGGTCTTGATGCTTGTAAGTGTTCATTAATGTCTAGGAACTGAAGAGTTAGATGTTTATTCTAGTCTTTGCCCTCTGGACTTGTTTGTACCTGTCCTTCTTGAAACGGCTTTCTGAGTATTCAAAGGGAATTAAGTGTTGTAATATAAGTCTTTGTTCACTGCATCCTTATCTGCATTAGTGGGTACCCCAAACCCACTAACGCTGTGACTCTTGCACACTTGTAGAGGTACTGCTTTGGTGGTCTTCGGTAAGGTCCAGGAGGATTCCCTAGATTACCACACAGGGTCTCTTTTTGTTTTCTCTTACTTTCCCCCAAGCAAAGTCTGTCTTTGTGCTGAGCTGCCTGAAGTTAGGGAGGTGTGATTCAAGCACTCTCATGACCACCACAGCTGCACTGGATAACACCTGATGCTAATATAGTACTGGGTCTTACCCAAGGCCTATGACAACTATTGTCTGTCTATCACTGATGTTTATTCAAGGCCCAAGGGCTCTCTAGTTGTTGGTGATGAATTCTGCCAGGACTGAGTTTTTCCTTTCAGGACAGCAGTTTCCCTTCTAACCTAGAGTGTGGGTCTTGAACTGCCATCCAGGAGTTATGGCCTGGAATTCGGGGCTTCAGGACTTTGCTTGGTGTTGTATTTTACTGTGGCTAAGCTAGTATCCAAGTTGCAAGAAAAAGTCCTCTTTTATCTTCCCTCTCCTTTCAACTGGAGCTGCAAGCTGTGCTACCTGGAATTAGGAGGGGCATGACCCAAGCACTTTCTTGGCTGCCCTAGCTGGTATCTAACTAGGTCAATGGACCTCAAGTCCACTGTCTCTCAGTCTAGCACAGCACCAGGACTTTCCCAGGAACATCCATCCTTGTGCCCTAGACTGCCTTTCAAATTTATTCAGGACCCCAGGACACTTTGCTTCATGGTGATGGGCTAGTCGGAACTCATGAATGAATCCCCTTTGGCTTGAGCTGGTCTAATTCTCTGGCCAAATTCTGCCCTGTGTTGTGTTCTGTTGTAATACAACAGCACTAAGTTCCAACGCAAAGTACCACCATTATTTGGCTCTCCCTCCCACAAGTACACAATTTCTCTTTCCAAAGCAGGCAAGCAGGAATTCTAAGGGATAAAGGAGGAGTGTTGTATGCAATGCAAGACTGGCTCTCCTACCCTCTTCAGTGTCTCTTTCCTTGATATGATGTTAAAACCAAGCACTGTAATCCCTCGTCTGATTTTTGGTTCTTATGAAGCTGACTTCCTATGTGGGTCGTTGTTCAATTTTTAGTTCCTCTGAGGGGACAAATACTAAAAGGTTTCATTCAGCCTTCTTGACGCACCTATGTAATTTATATTACATAGAGGGAGTAATATGAAATATATATATATATACACATATACATATATATAGTTTTTTTCTATGTGCAATGGTTCTTCCTAACCTTTTATCACTGTTCTAGTAATCATTACCAGTGGGGGTCATCATTTGTACTCTTGGAGTATTTTAAGTCTCATTTCCTTCCAGGACATGGTAGGAGTACCTTCACTGTCCCTGCTGAGATTAGGCTATGTCATGTGACTTGCTTTGGTTAATGAGGTGTGAGGAGAAGATATGTGCAAATTCCAGGCAGAAACTTTACAAGCCAGTGCATGTTTTGCCCTGTCTCCCTTTCCTTACTGCAATGATAAAGGAGAGCATTCTAAATAAAGTATCCATTACCCTTGGCTCATGAATGACTTCAATGAACAATGTCTACCACTGCATTTTGGACATAATATGTGAGTGAGAAATAAACTTTTAAAGATCCTGAGATGTAGGAGACTATTTTTTGCAAATAAAAAAATGGAATAAAATCTCTTCATTGAAAGCTTCAAATAATTTTTCCTCATTATGAACAAATACATGCTTCTTATAAACTACTGAGAAATAACAAAACAAATAGGACAAAAATGATCCTACCAATGATGTTATTGGTGTTAATGATATTACTTTGAGTTTTCTATAAATCTTTGAATTTGCGAACATAATTTTTAAGTTATTTGACTCTCTTACATCATTAAAATAAATGACAAGTTTTTAGCAAGAATATATAAATGTAAAAATGGCTTAAATATAGGATCCAATAAAATTAATAATTAAATAAGGGAGCATAAGGTGTACCCCAAAACAAAACTAAAATATATAAAGAATTTATTAGAAGGTAGGTTAGGTAGGACACAATATTAGAAATAAGCTTTCTAACAAATAATATGTAAAGGGCAACTCAATAACTTATATAATTTATCTTTTCCTTAAATGAAACCAGTTTAATATTCAAAGTTTACCTCGGAGTGCGTAGAACAGATTGTTTCCTTCTTCACTATTCTAAGTGATGCTTCCTTTAATGGGTTACATGTAACTCCAGAGGAATTTGGAGGCTTAGTGGCAGTCATTATTCAACCCCACAGGCCCTTTTTTGAGGAACATGAGAATCAGCTGAATGGGTGGGCAAAAGTATCATGTCTATGGCTAAGCTTTAGGTGGGTTTCTTTATTGATGTTTAATTTTGAAAGGAGAAGTTTATTGGATAAATATGGCTATAACCAAGAAGGGTAATATCAGGTGGAAGAGGTACGGTGATTAGTTGGATGTGCACTGGTTATATCATGAGTTTATTTCTTAGAAGTTTTCATTAAATATGTTATTTTCTCTATCACATTACACATCTTATTTTATTTTATTTTATTTTTGTATATACAGAGTCTCACTCTTATCACCCAGGCTTGAGTGCAGTGGTGTAATCTCGACTCACTGCAACCTCTGCTTCCTGGGTTCAAGCAATTCTCCTGCTTCAGCCTCCCAAGTAGCTGGGATTACAGGACCCTGCCACCATGCCAGCTAATTTTTGTATTTTTAGTAGAGATGGGTTTTCACCAAGTTGGCCAGGCTGGTTTCAAACTCCAAACCTCAAGTGATTTGCCTGCCTTGGCCTCCCAAAGTGCTGGGATTATAGGCATGAGCTACTTTGCCCAGCCCACATAGCACATCTTAATTTAATTTTCAAAATATATAATGCAGGTCAAATTTCTGACTCATGATTATTGTATCCTCATTCATTATTCTTTATAGCATGTTACCTTTAGAAGTCTTTCTTAGCTAGAGTGCTGGTTTGTAAACCATTAACAATGGCATTTTAATGAGGCTTAGCTTTCAGCTCTACCTCTTTTGCTTTTCAGTGGAATCATCTAGTTTTCCCCATGTCCCTCCCTGGCTTCAATTTTAGCTTACAGTTTAGCAAGATCTCTTTGCTCTCATCTCATCTGACTAGCACCCTGCATTATTTTATACTTTTTTCTATTCAATGTCTGAGCAAGTATGAATCAGCTATCAACGTTCCCTACTATTTTGAATAAGGAGATACACTTTGTGGTTTATAATTTTGGCTTGTGGCTGATTTCTTTTTTTTTATATGAGATGTTTTTGACATTGATATTTGATGCTTTCTTTTTTTATTATCATACTTTAAGTTTTAGGGTACATGTGCACAATGTGCAGGTTAGTTACATATGTATACATGTGCCATGTTGCTGTGCTTAACCTAGTAACTCGTCATTTAACATTAGGTATATCTCCAAATGCTATCCCTCCTGCCTCCCCCCACCCCACAACAGGCCCTGGTGTGGGATGTTCCCCTTCCTGTGTCCATGTGTTCTCATTGTTCAATTCCCACCTATGAGTGAGAACATGCGGTGTTTGGTTTTTTGTTCTTGCGATAGTTTGCTGAGAATGATGGTTTCCAGCTTCATCCATATCCCTACAAAGGACATGAACTCATCCTTTTTAATGGCTGCATAGTATTCCATGGTGTATATGTGCCACATTTTCTTAATCCAGTCTATCATTGTTGGAAATTTGGGTTGGTTCCAAGTCTTTGCTATTGTGAATAGTGCCACAGTAAACATAAGTGTGCATGTGTCGTTATAGCAGCATGATTTATAATCTTTGGGTATATACCCAGTAATGGATGGCTGGGTCAAATGGTATTTCTAGTTCTAGATCCCTGAGGAATCACTACATTGACTTTCACAATGGTTGAACTAGTTTACAGTCCCACCAAGTGTGTAAAAGTGTTCCTATTTCTCCATATCCTCTCCAGCACGTGTTGTTTCCTGACTTTTAATGATTGCCATTCTAACTGGTGTGAGATGGTATCTCATTGTGGTTTTGATTTGCATTTCTCTGATAGCCAGTGATGGTGAGCATTTTTTCATGTGTCTGTTGGCTGCATAAATGTCTTCTTTTGAGAACTGTCTGTTCATATCTTTCACCCACTTTTTCATGGGGTTGCTTTTTTTTTTCTTGTAAATTTGTTTGAGTTCATTGCAGATTATGGATATTAGCCCTTTGTCAGATGAGTAGATTGCAAAAATGTTCTCCCATTCTGTAGGTTGCCTGTTCACTCTGATGGTAGTTTCTTTTGCTGTGCAGAAGTTCTTTAGTTTAATTAGATCCCAAAGCAAGAAGAGAAGTTTAGAGAAAAAAGAATAAAAAGAAATGAACAAAGCCTCCAAGAAATATGGGACTATGTGAAAAGACCAAATCTACATCTGATTGGTGTACCTGAAAGTGACGGAGAGAATGGAACCAAGTTGGAAAACACTCTTCAGGATATTATACAGGAGAACTTCCCCAACCTAGCAAGACAGGCCAACATTCAAATTCAGGAAATACAGAGAACACCACAAAGATACTCCTTGAGAGGAGCAACTCCAAGACACATAATTGTCAGATTCACCGAAGTTGAAATGAAGGAAAAAATGTTAAGGGCAAGCCAGAGAGAAAGGTCAGGTTACCCACAAAGGGAAGCCCATCAGACTAACAGCTGATCTCTCAGCAGAAACTCTACAAGCCAGAAGAGAGTGGGGGCCGATATACAACATTCTTAAAGAAAAGAATTTTCAAGCCAGAATTTCATATCCAGCCAAATTAAGCTTCATAAGTGAAGGAGAAATAAAATCCTTTACAGACAAGCAAATTCTGAGAGATTTTGTCACCACCAGGCCTGCCTTACAAGAGCTCCTGAAGGAAACACTAAACATGGAAAGGAACAACTGGTAGTGGCCCGTGCAAAAACATGCCAAATTGTAAAGATCATCGAGGTTAGGAAGAAACTGCATCAACTAATGAGCAAAATAACCAGCTAACATCATAATGACAGGATCAAATTCACACATAACAATATTAACCTTAAAAGTAAATGGGCTAAATTCTCCAATTAAAAGACACAGACTGGCAAATTGGATAAAGAGTCAAGACCCATCAGTGTGCTGTATTCCCATCTCACATGCAGAGACACACATAGGTTCAAAATAAAGGCATGGAGGAAGATCTACCAAGCAAATGGAAAACTAAAAAAAAGGCAGGGGTTGCAATCCTAGTCTCTGATAAAACAGACTTTAAACCAACAAAGATCAAAAGAGACAAAGAAGACCATTACATAATGGTAAAGGGATCAATTCAACAAGAAGAGCTAACTGTCCTAAATATATATGCACCCAATACAGGTGCACCCAGATTCATAAAGCAAGTTCTTAGAGACCTATAAAGAGACTTAGACTCCCACAAAATAATAATGGGAGATTTTAACACCCCACTGTCAACATTAGACAGATCGACGAGACATAAAGTTAACAAAGATATCCAGGAATTGAACTCAGCTCTGCACCAAGCAGACCTAATAGACATCTACAGAACTCTCCACCCCAATTCAATAGAATATACATTCTTCTCAGCACCACACCGCACTTATTCCAAAATTGACCACATAGTTGGAAGTAAAGCACTCCTCGACAAATGTCAAAGAACAGAAATTATAACAAACTGTCTCTCAGACAACAGTGCAATCAAACTAGAGCTCAGGATTAAGAAACTCACTCAAAACTGCTCAACTACATGGAAACTGAACAACCTGCTCCTGAATAACTACTGGGTACATAACGAAATGAAGGCAGAAATAAAGATGTTCTTTGAAAACAATGAAAACAAAGACACAACATACCAGAATATCTGGGACACATTCAAAGCAGTGTGTAGAGGGAAATTTATAGCATTAAATGCCCACAAGAGAACGCAGGAAAGATCTAAAATTGACACCCTAACATCACAATTAAAAGAACTAGAGAAGCAAGAGCAAACACATTCAAAAGCTAGCAGAAGGCAAGAAATAACTAAGATCAGAGCAGAACTGAAGGAAATAGAGACATAAAAAAGCCTTCAAAAAATCAATGAATCCAGGAGATGGTTTTTTGAAAAGATCAACACAATTGATAGACCTCTAGCAAGACTAATAAAGAAGAAAAGAGAGAAGAATCAAATAGACGCAATAAAAAATGATAAGGGGGATATCACCACCGATCCCATAGAAATACAAACTACCATCAGAGAATACTATAAACACCTCTGTGCAAATAAACTAGAAAATCTGGAAGAAATGGATAAATTCCTCAACACATACATGCTCCCAAGACTAAACCAGGAAGAAGTTGAATCTCTGAATAGACCAATAACAGGCTCTGAAATTGAGGCAATAATTAATAGCTTACCAACCAAAAAAAGTCCAGGACCAGATGGATTCACAGCCGAATTCTACCAGAGGTACAAGGAGGAGCTGGTAGCATTCTTTCTGAAACTATTCCAATCAATAGAAAAAGAGGGAATCCTCCCTAACTCATTTTATGAGGCCAGCATCATCCTGATACCAAAGCCTGGCAGAGACACAACAACAAAAGAAGAGAATTTTAGACCAATATCCCGGATGAACATTGATGCAAAAATCCTCAATAAAATACGGGCAAACTGAATCCAGCAGCACATCAAAAAGCTTATCCACCATGATCAAGTGGGCTTCATCCCTGGGATGCAAGCCTGGCTCAACATACGCAAATCAATAAATGTAATCCAGCATATAAATAGAACCAACGACAAAAACCATATGAATATCTCAATAGATGCAAAAAAGGCCCTTGAAAAATTCAACAACCCCTCATGCTAAAAACTCTCAATAAATTAAGTATTGATGGGACATATCTCAAAATAATAAGAGCTATCTATGACAAACCCACAGCCAATATCATACTGAATGGGCAAAAACTGGAAGCATTCCCTTTGAAAACGGGCACAAGACAAGGATGCCCTCTCTCACCACTCCTATTCAACATAGTATTGGAAGTTCTGGCCAGAGCTATCAGGCAGGAGAAGGAAATAAAGGGTATTCAATTAGGAAAAGAGGAAGTCAAATTGTCCCTGTATGCAGATGACATGATTGTATATCTAGAAAACCCCATTGTCTCAGCCCAAAATCTCCTTAAGCTGATAGGCAACTTCAGCAAAGTCTCAGGATTGTGGCTGATTTCTTATGGAGTGTCCACAACTTTTACAAGTAACAAAATTCAGATGTACCATAAAGATAGCTTTATTTTTCAATAACAACTTATATTTTAAGTCCAAATTCAGCCTTACAATTAATCTAGTTACTTTCAAGTGTATTCATCATTTCAAGTTTCACCCAACATTTTTCACTAATCTTCTTCTTCTCCCTAGAGTGACATTTAAATTCCTCCTGGCTTATGTATCTCCCCAAAACTGTGAAAGACAAAACCACATGATTATCTGTTCACTCTGGTGTCTGTTGAGGTGAGCAATCCCATCAGTGCATTGAATGTGTCATCTGAAATGTCTCATTGTCAGCCTTCGTCATGGCACCATATGGAAATTTTCTGGAGCCTGAATACCAAGCCAATTTTGGAACAGTTTTCACCTTCACGATCTCTGGTAGTTTCTCTTCAACCTTCTTTGCCTTTCTCAGGGCAGGAGAAAATGTGGCTGCTTTCTCATAATATGCTGGTGACATGTGACTCAGTGGGATGCCTCTCCTGTATGCCACCAGAAGCTCCTGTATGTGTGATTTATCCTATTACCAGCCTCCTTTGATGTAGGGGAACATCTGAGAATCTGAAGCCATCAATATTCCATCATCTTTCTAAAGGAAACTGCTTCATTAAAGCAGTACCTCCTCTCAAATTTACTCAGTGTATCTGGGGACTTCCTTCTTCATGCTTTCTCCCTGGAACTAATTTCTGCCCTGAGTCCATGTCACTAAGCCTCTTTTTTTCTCCTCATGGGATCTTTATCCAGTTCATGGTGGGAAAACTTGTGCCTATCTCAATATTCATTATTCTCAAATCTATATTTCATCTATTGATGTTCTAGCCTGCATATTTCAAAAATTTTGTAACTCAAAAAGAATCAACTTTGGGAAATCAAATGGTTGTCTATGCTATGAGCTTCAGAAGACTATTTTTGAGCTCGAAATCAAGAACTTGAAAAGTTCTCTCGTTTGTTCTTGGTTCCAAACTTTGCTGCTTGGGTCAATATCCCTAGACTACATAACTGTTGCCTGATATAGAAAGACAGGATGGGAGTAAATAGAATTCCAATAATAAAAGGCACATTAATGAATATCAAAACATCACTTCTGTATTTTTTTTGTTAAAGACAAAATTATTCTCTACTTGTAATTACTTTATGTTTTATTGCTCTTATTGTTTTTGGTTGATGTAAAAATGGTGAATAAAGTAAAAATGTCTTTATTACAGTATCTTTAACCACAAGTCCATTGGCTTGGAAGAATGCTGATATCTCTGCCAATTGAAATACTTCTCATCACACTGACAGTACTTTCCAGCTACTGCCCTAGCCTAGTTCCTTTTGTTCACTTCCAGATTACTCCAAGAACAATGAACAGCTAAAATTATGATGTAATGATTTTTTTTTTTTTTTTTTTTTTTTTGAAACGGAGTCTCACTCTGTCACCCAGGCTGGAGTGCAGTGGCGCGACCTAGGCTCACTGCAAGCCCTGCCTCCCGGGTTCACGCCATTCTCCTGCCTTAGCCTCCCGAGTAGCTGGGAATACAGGTGCCCGCCACCACGCCTGGCTAATTTTTTGTATTTTTGTTTTAGTAGAGACAGGGTTTCACCGTTTTACCCAGGATGGTCTCAATCTTCTGACCTCGTGATCTGCCTGCTGCGGCCTCCCAAAATGCTGGGATTACAGGCGTGAGCCACGGCGCCCGGCCTTTCACTGTCTTTTTGTGGTATATCAGGTCAGGTTAAACTGAAGGGAACGGATACTGCTCATTAGTCTTAATATTTAAGCAATTTCTCTTTTAGTAGTTTAGATTTATAACATTTTGAGGGGAGAAGTGCATAAAAGTGTATAGATTCAAATCAGAGCAATTACTAAGAAAATCTACTCTGAATTATTACAAATAGTAATACAATACAATATAATAGTCATGATCTTTGTATTAATTTTTAAATAGTATCTGGTTGAAAAAATGCAGTTTTTTTAATATAGAAGAGTAACAATGTCTGTGATCCACTGAGCAGTCTCTTTACTACGTAAGCGTAATACTCTTCAACATACTGCTTTTAAAAAAAGATTCATTCTTTCTTTCAATACATATGTCTGGACTGTCCACTGTGAACCAATAAGCATACCAGTTTGCAGGAATACAATAAGGAAATCTCTAAAGAGATACCGTTTTTGGTCTGGTAAGAGAGCTAGACCTTAATCAAACACTGACAAATATTTTAATATTGGCATTATGATAGTGTTATTAAAAAGAGGCATGTAGTTTTAAGATATCATATATCAGAAAAAAGCCTCAAGGAGCAAGTGTCAATTTGCTAGTATTTAATGTAGAGAAGCAAGGAGAGAAAAAGCATTTCACGCAGAGTAAATTGGAAGTGCAAAGTCCCAGAAGTAAAAAGGAACTTTAAAGTGTGAAAGAAGGATATATAGTTTGACATTTAACACAAAAGAAAAGGTAGTATGAAATATAACTAGAGATATAGATAATAACCAGACCATACAGTACAGTATAGATCATGTTTGCATTTTTAAATCTTGCAACAGTATAACACTTCAGATATTTAACATTGATTTTAGGGTAAATATTTTGTTTCAAAAGATAAGTTCAATGAAGATGAACTAAAAATGTTGAATACTTCTTGAAGTAATCTGGAAGTGAAAAAAAGGAACCAGGGCAGTAGCTGGAAAGTACTGTCAGTGTGATAAGAAGTATTTCAACTGGCAGAGATATCAGCATTCTTCCAAGCTAATGGACTTGTGGTTAAAGATACCAGAATAAAGACATTTTTACTTTATTCACCATTTTTACATCAACCAAAAACAATAAGAACAATAAAACTATTTACTGTGAAGATATTTTGAACATTTATTTTGTTTGGTGATACTCTCTTGGAGCACAATCAACTTAGAAATCAAGACGAAGAAATTAGCTCAAAATCATACAATTACATGGAAATTGAATAACCTGCTCCTGAATGGATCCTGGATAAATAATTAATTTAAGGCAGAAATCAAGTTATTTGAAACTAATGAGAACAAAGATACAACATACCAGAATTTCTGGGACCACAGCTAAGGTAGTGTTAAGAGGGAAATTTATAAAACCAAATGCCCACATGAAAAAGTTAGAAAGATGTCAGTTTAACAACCTATCTAAAAGAACTAGAGAACTAAATAACTAAATAATAACTAACTAAATAACTAGAAGAACTAGAGAACTAAGAGAAAAGCAACCCCAAATCCAGAAGAGGACAAGAAATAATGAAAATCAGAGCTGAACTGAAAGAGATTGAGATATTAAAAAAAAATTCAAAAGATCAATGAATCCAGGTGTTGGTTTTTTTGAAATACCTACTAGACTACTAGCTAGACTAATAGGAAAAGGGAGAAGATCCAAATAAACACAATTAGAAATGACAAAGAGGATATTACCACTGACTCTACAGAAATAAAAATAAGCATCAGAGAATATTGTGAACACCTCTATATACATAAACTGGAAAATCTAGAAGAAATTGAGAAATTCCTAGACACATACACCCTCCCAAGACTGAGCCAGGAAGAAATTGAATCCCTGAACAAACCAATAAAGAGCTCAAAAATTGAAACAGTAATAAACAGCCTATCAAGCAAAAAAAGCCCAGGCCCAAATGGATACACAACTGAATTCTACCAGATGTACAAACAAGAGCTGTACCACTCCTACTTAAGCTATTCCAAAAAATTGAGGAAAAGGGACTTCTCCCTAACTCATTCTATGAGGCCAGCATCATCCTGATACCAAAACCTGACAGATTAAACAAAAAAAGAAAACTTCAGGCCAATAACCTTCATGAGCATCGATGCAAAAATCCTCAACAAAATACTGGGTAAAGTGAATCCAGCAGCACATGAAAAAGCTCATCCACCACAATCAAGTAGGCTTCATCCCTGGAATGCAAGGTTTGTTCAATATACACAAATCAATAAATGTGACTCATCACATAAACAGAAATGGCGACAAAAAATTGACATGATTATCTCCATAGATGCAGAAAAGGCTTTTGACAAAATTCAACACCCCTTCATGTTAAAAACTTTCAATAAACTATATATTGAAGGAAGATACCTTAAAATAATAAGAGCCATATATGACAAATCCACAGCCAACATTATGTATGAGCAAAAGCTGGAAGCATGCCCCCTTGAAAACCAGTACAAGATAAGGATGCACTCTGTCACTACTTTTATTAAACATAGTATTAGAAGTCCTGGTAAGAGCAATCAGGCAAGAAAAAGAAATAAAGATCATCCAAATAGGAAGAGAGGAAGTCAAACTATCTCTGTTTGCAAATGACATAATACTATATGTAGAAAACCTCATAGTCTTGGCCCAGAAGCTCCTTACACTGATAAACAACTTAAGCAAAGTCTCAGGATACAAAATCAATGTACAAAAATTACTATCATTCCTAGATACCAAGAACAGTCAAACTGAGAGCAAAATCAGGAACACAATCGAATTCACAATTGCCAATAAAAGAATAAAATATCTAGGAATATTGCCAACCAGGGAGGTGAAAGATCTCTAAAAGGAGAACTACAAAATGCTCCTCAAAGAAATCAGAGATGATACAAACAAATGGAAAAGCATCCCATACTCATGGATAAGAAGAATCAATATTGTTAAACTGGCCATATTACCCAAAGAAATTTATAGATTCAATGTTATTCTTATCAATCTATTAATGACATTATTAACAGAACTAAAAAAAAAGCTATTGTAAAATCCATAAATAAACAAAAATGAGCCCTAATAGCCAAAGAAATCCTAAGCAAAAAGAGCAAACTGGATGCATCACACTACCCAGGTTCAAACTATACTACATGTCTACACTAACCAAAGCAGTATGGTACTTATAAAAAAAGAGACACATAGGTCAAATGAACAGAATAGAGAGTTCAGAAATAAGACAGCATACCTACTACTATCTGATTTTTTACAAAGTTGACAAAAATAAGCAATAGGAAAAGAACTCCCTACTCAGTAAAATATGCTGGAATAACTGGCTAACCATATGCAGAATATTGAAACTGGACCCTTTCCTTATACCACATACAAAAATTAACTAAAGATAAATTAAAGACCTAAATGTAATACCCAAAGCTATTTAAAACCCTGGAAGAAAACCTCGGAGTACCATTCTGGACATAGGCACGGGCAAAGTTTTGTGATGAAGATGTCAAAAGCAATTGCAACTAAAGCAAAAAGTGACAAGTGGGATCTTATTAAACTAAAGAGCTTCTACACAGCAAAAGAAACTATCAACAGAGTAAACAGACAACCTTCAGAATGGGAGAGAAATTTTGCAAACCACGCATCTGACAAAGATCTAATATCCAGCATCTATAAGGAACTTAAACAAACTTACAAGAAAAAGACAACCCCATCATAAAGTGGGCAAAGGACATGAACAGACACTTTTTGTAAACTTTTATTTTAAGTTCAGGGGTACAGGTGGAGGTTTGTTACATAGGTAAACTCGTGTCATGGGGGTTTGTTGTACAGATTATTTTGTCACCCAGGTATTAAGCCTAGTACTCATTATTTTTCCGGATCTTCTCCCTCCTCCCTCCCTTGCCCTCCAGTAGGCTCTAGTATCTGTTGTTTCCCTCTATGTGTTCATGTATTCTCATCATTTAGCTCCCACATATAAGTGAGATACAAGCAAGAACATGTAGTATTTGGTTGTCTGTTCCAGTGTTAGTTTGCTAAGGATACTGGCCTCCAGAACCAAACATGTTCATGCAAAGAACATGATCTCATTCCTTATTATGGTTGTATAGTATTCCATGGTGAATATGTACCACATTTTCTTTATCCAGTCTATCATTGACAGGCCTTTAGGTTGATTCCATGTCTATGCTATTGTTAACAGTGCTGCAGTGAACATATGTGTGCATGTGTCTTTATGATAGAACAATTTGTATTCCTTTGAGTATATACCCAGTAGCAGGATTCTGTCCTTTTCTTTTGAAAAGGATACTTTAAAAAAAATACAATAGTTTTGGAGAAAAAGGTGGTGTTTTGTTGCATGGAAATGGTCTTTAGTGGTGATTTCTGAGATTTTGGTGCACCTATCACCAGGGCAGTGTACACTGTACCCAATGTGTAGTCTTTTATCCCTCACTCCCCTCCCACCTTTCACCCTGAGTCCCCGAAGTCCATTATATCATTCTTATGCCTTTGCATCCTCATAGCTTAGCTCCCGCTTATAAGTGAGAACATATGATATTTTGTTTTCCATTCCTGAGTTAATTCACTTAGAATAATGGTGTCCAGCTCCATTAAGGTTGTTGCAAATGCCATTATTTCATTACTCTTTATGGCTGAATAATTATCCATGGTTTGGAAAAGTGTCCAAAGGACACTTTCCAAAAGACATACATGCGACCAATGAGAATATGAAAAAAAAAAAGCCCAACATCACTGGTGATTAGAAAAATGCAAATCAAAACCACAATGAGACGCCATCTCACACCACTCAGAATGGCTATTATATAATAAAAATAAACAAATAACAGATGCTCGTTAGGTTGCAAAGAAAAAGGAATACTTATATACTGTTGGTGGGAGTGTAAATAAGTTCAGTTGTTGTGCATTGTAGCACTGTTTACAACAGCAAAGACATGGAATAAACCTAAATGCCCATGAAGGTATATGGATAAAGAAATGTGGTCAATGTACACCATGGAATACTATGCAATCATAAATAAGAACAAGATCATGTCCTTGACAGAAATGTGGATGGAGCTGATGCCATTTTCCTTAGCAAACTAACACAGAAACAAAATCAAATACTGAGTGTGCTCACTTATAAGTGGGAGCTAAATGATGAGAATACATGGATACATAGAGGGGAATGGCAGATCCCGGGACCTACTGGAGGGTGAAGGTGGGGACAAGGCAGAGGATCAGGGAACGCAACTTACAGGTACTAGGCTTAATACCTGGGTGACAAAATAATCTGTACAACAAACCCTCCTTTGTTACCTATGTAATAAATCTGCTGTGAACTTAAAATAAAAGTAAAACAAAAAAAAAGATGTAGAACATTTTCGTCATTCCCAAAAACAAATGCTCTTTTGCAGCAAATTGCCTTCCCCCAACTAGCCCCTGGCAACCACTGACCTGTTCCCTGTTGTAATAATTTTACCTGTTCCAGAATGTCACATAAGTGGAGTCACACAGAATATAACCATTTGAGTGTGATTTCTTTCATGTGGTATAATAAATTTGAGATTAACCCACAACAAAATTTATCATGTTCTTGCTCATTTTTCTATTGAAATAATATTTACTTATTAATTTTCAGGCCCCATAAAGAATATTCAATCCAAACATATCACATTCATTGCAAATATTTTTCATTTATCCTATATTCCTCCTGGATATTTACACTATGCTCTCCACCCCTTTGGGATCCCCCTGTCTCCCATCTATCTACAGGAAACTTCATGACACTTAACATTGACATGTCAAGTTTATACAGTATAAACTTGCTTTTCAAATGGTCAGCTCTACATTGCTGTATTAGTCTGTTTCCATGCTGTTGATAAAGACATACCTGAGCCTGGGAAGAAAAAGAGATTTAATGGATGTACAGTTCCACATGGCTGGGGAGGTCTCACAATCATGGCAAAGACAAGGAGGAGCAAGTCACACATCTTACATAGATGACAGCCGGCAACGAGAGAGCTTGTGCAGGAAAACTCCCATTTTTAAAGCCATCAGATCTCATGAGACTCATTCACTATCACAAGAATGGCTCAGTGAAGACCTGCCCCCATAATTGAATCACCTCCCACCAGGTTCCTCCCATGAAACATGGGAATTGTGGAGTTACAATTCAAGATGAGATTTGGGGACATAGCCAAACCATATCAATTGCCAAAAAAAGTGGGTAAAGTTCAACCCGTTGTTGAGAGCCCTCAAAATGACAACTCCATTAACAGCAATGACAATGGGAATTACAATTTTTATTCAGCACTGTGCTGTGTGTTTCAGGGTATGGTATGTTGAATAATGGTCCTTCAAATGTGTCCACATCCTAGTCCCCAGAAAATGCAAATATGTTACAATACATGGCAAAAGTGGCTTTGTAGATATGATTAAAAATTTTGAGATAGGAAGATAATGCTGAATTATCAGGGCAACCCTAATATAATCACATGGGTCTTTATAAGATGGAGTCAAAAGGGCTAGTGTCAGAGAAGTTGTGATAACAGAAGTCAGAGAGGAGGAAGATTTGAAGATGTTGTACTGCTGGCTTTGAAGACAGAGGAAGAGGCTATGAGCCAAAGAATGTAGATGGCGTCCAAAAGCTGGAAATGGCAAAGAAATAGATTCTCCCTAGCAACTCCAGTTGAAATACAGCACTGATAACTCTACTTTGGACTTCAGACCTCTGGAACTGTCAGATACTAAATTTGTGTTGTTTTAGGTCACTGATTCAGGTAATTTGTTACCGCAGCAGTAGGAAACTAATACACAGGGTCACATGACTGGTAAGTAGTGAAGCAGTGATTTCAAGTGTTCCATATTTGATTTTCAAATCTCTGATCTTCCTTCTCATATAGACAACTTACATTTCTAATTACAAATGAATAAATAACAATGACATGACCATATTAATTTCAAATAGTTTGTATCATTTTTAAATTTGTGTCAAATAATTTACTCTGATATTTTCTTCTAAACATATAAGTATGTTAAAATAGCCAAAATTTTGCTTCTTGGAATGCTAACTTCAGTTCCTCCAATGTATTTTGTGTTTACTATTTTCTTAGCTGGAGTCCTGTCCTTCCTCTCCCTGCAACACACACATTGATCATGAGCCATTTTACCAGCACCTAATGCAAATGTTACTTCCCTCATTAATGCAGTACTGATCTTTTCAATATCTGTGACTCCTTGTTGCACTGGGTATCTCTTTTACAATCATGTATTATACTGTGCCATGTTTTATAGTTATTTATATGTGCCTTCTTTCTCTTTTAGATTGTGAGTTGCCTGAATCTGTGCCTCTGTTTTGTAATCATGAGTTCCTAGCCTAGGATATGGCTCCAGGTAGGTGATCAGTAGAAATATGTCGAATTGAACTATGACTGCTTAGAGCTGTGTCTTTATAAGCCAGCTCTGACCCATTTAATAACTTCTAGTTCTGCCACAAGGCTTTAATAAATATGGTGCAAGCCCCAAAAATGCACTTTTGGGTCAAATATATTGAGTTCAATCCTCCTCTCCACAAATATTGCTGAAATGAGCCTGGATTCCATCCCAGTTTCTGTCAAAAGGAACTTTATAGGCAACTCCTGGCTTTGGCTAAGGCCCTTATCCCAGAGACTCAAAGGCCATTATAGCTGCAAATGCTTCAAATCATAACAGAAAAGAAGGTTATATTACTAAATGATGTGAACTTTTTCAAATTCAACACATCAATCATTCTTTTTAAAACTGTAAATTCTCTGTACAGTATAACACATTTATGAAGTAAAGTTATTTTACATTTTGCTGGCTGGCATTAAAAGCTTATAACTTATTTTTAAAATTTTGTATCTAGTATTCTTACATTATTAGCTTCCAATTGGCAATGGCCCATTAGCAAATAATATTCTTCTTAATGGTTATAGGTTATTCTTTTCCTTAATGTAAACATCTACATTAGGCTATTCAGACATTTATTTGAATTATTTTCATAGGTATTATTATGAAATCCTGGATCAATTATAATACCTATATTATTTGTCTTATTCATTTGCTTGTAGGTTCCTGATACTGGCCTTAATGATTGCTGAAAATGTCTTAAACATATATGTTTCTCATAGGATGTTCTAAAAGTTTGCCAGATAGAATAGAAACAACTTTATCTCTCTTTCTCTCTCTCTCTCCTCCATATATATGTATCTAATCAATGTCTGTGTCAACCTATAATTTATTTCTGCATCCTGCACATCTGAAGAGCCTCAAGAGTGTAAATATATCAGCATAAAGATTTTGTAATCATGCAAGGGTCTTGATGTTAACATTTCATGTTTCTGTATTTCAGGAATTTTTTTCAAAGCTTACCATTAGTCATTTTAATATGGTTCAAATATCCTATACACCAATGCTTGCCCTATTTCTAGCTGGTGACAGACTCATTACTAAAGGCGTATGCTTTGAATATCTGTGGTAGATCATTCATGGAGTAACATTTTTAGAAATCAGATTTTCAAAACCCATTTTCCCCTAAAAGGTCACTTTAGGAAAGATTACTGCTTCTTCACAACCACAGGTTTTCAAGGTTGAAGTAATGGGTACTGTCTTGGAGACTACAGCATTTAGCAACTGGGAAATATTCCTGAATTAATTATTTTTGGCGTGTAGATGAACATACCCATTTTTGAGTGGTTAGGGGAAGGGAATGTGAGGTCAAATATCTTTGGACTTCAAGAATTTTTTTGTTGATGTTGTTCTTGGCCATATATTTTAAAGTACCCGTGCTCATATATTCAAAATATACTGCTATTACTGCTTTGTGTAAAACCATCATAGTCGAAAAGTGATGATGCTAGAGTCACAGAAGCTTGGTTTAAGTTCTTGTCTAAGTTCTTGGTGTTTCCTCATCTGTTAAAATAAGAAAACTCTATTCCAGCATTGTTGTGAGAATCACAAATGGTATTTTGCCTGCAGTTCCTTATATATAATGAGTATTTCACTAATAAAGTTATTACTATTACCCGATGACATTTATAAAAAGAAAAACTAGTCTGTTTTTCATTATCATTGAGAATTATAGATAAGAGTTAAGTCTCTCCACATCAGGCTAGGCTCAACTGATAAGTCCACGTTTTCATGAAGGACAAGGTTTTAATATTGTTCTCTTAGTCCATTTGTGTGCTATAGCATAATATCTCATACAAGGTAATTTATAACGAACAAAAATTTTATTTCTCACAGTTATGGAGGAAAAGTGCAAGATGAAGGTGTCAGCATCCAGTGAGGGCTTCTTGCTCTGTCCTAACAAAATGGAAGGCAGAGGGCAAAAAGGCACAAGAGAGTGAACCCATGCCCAGGAGCCCTGTTTATAATGACATTAATTGAATAGTACTAATTAGTTATTAGTACTATTAATAAAGTACTGAGGTAGGATATGGTGCCATTTAAAGATACTCATTTTAGTTTAGGTTACATTTCTTAAACCATACTGAAAATTATGTGTCACATGACCTAAACACCTCCCATTAGGCCCACCTTCCAACAGTGGGCATTAAGTTTCAGACACACGGATTCTGGGGACACGTACAAAAATAAATTGTCACTTTGATTAATTTTTAAATTGTGATTTTAGATGTTTTGCAGGATTACAGATAGGAATTGTGTAATACGATGACAAGAGAAATATTAAAGATATAAGGATAAAAGGCAAGATGTGGTAGCTGGGAAACACTAAGAGTAGAGAGGAAATTTACAGGGGAGTTTTTCAAATATTTACAATGTATCCATTATATTTATTTCTCATCCCTCAAATAAAACTTCTACATCATAGAATAAAGAAATCTACATCACTTTTCAATGTTTTCAAATTGAATTTGTATGTACGTATGTGTGTGTGCACCGACATGCAATTTTGTCTATTTTCTTGACTGTGGTAATGTACTGAAGTAGCATATGATGTAGTTTAAAGACACCTAACTTAATTTAGGTTACATTTTTTGGGCCTCATCCAAAGTTATTTATACAATCTTGCTTAATTAATCATTTCCATTGTGTAATGTTATTAAAGAAGGAAATAAAGAAGGAAAAACAGTCAATTCAGTGATATGCTTCTTATGAAATTTAACTGAACCAATTTGTGCTAACTAAACTCAAGAAAAGCAAACTACCCGTTGAAGTTGAAGTGTCAACTCATGCAGAAGGACTTCAGTGAGCAAAACCAGGCAGAGGAAATGCTCTCTCTTATCTGCCTTTAAACTATCAGGAAGGACATCAACAAGCATTGTGTAGTAGAGTTAGCTTTGTGCCTTTCTTTTCATCCTTTCATATTGTAAATTTCTTCAATATAGAGAATGTGTTCTTACTTATTTTTCTATGCTTAGCTCAATGAATATTTGTTATTTGTTTTAAGAAATTTTAGTTTATGAGATGGAATATCATTTTTTCACATAGAATGAAATTTTCCAACATACTTCTTTAGTGCCTGGAGTAATTATATTTGCAAACTGTGGCATCTTTTTCTACTATAAAAGTATATGCTGACCATGAAATCCAGGCAAAGGGATTTCTGTGGTCTTGAGGGATATTTCATTCAGGCTGTGGTAGAGCCTGGAAAATTATCTTGCTTTCTATAGAGCACAACTTTCTAATGGCTCAAGTGCCGATGCCTCTCAAATATTGTCTGGATACCATTTCAATCATTCTATAATAATACCGATTTATTATTTTGCTTTATTTATTCTCCCCAGATTGCATAAAAAATGCCATGCCCCTGAGAGACTACATTTTTTTAAACAAATTAAAATTAATTAAATCACAAACGTCTTGCTTTACAACAAAGTTACAGACTGTCTCTTAGGGTGAATTACTTTTACAAATTATTAATCTCTTCATTATGAATTTATTATTTTACTTTAAAAGAATGACATTTTATGGTCTGGCCCTGAGATTCTTCGAGCATATGATATTTGGAGCTGGGAGCTGCTGTCCTAACAATGAAGACAGCAATAAATGAAATATAAGGCTTTAGAACTTTTCTGCTTTCTAGATTTAGAAAACAAATTTTTAAGAAATTATTCTGTCTCTCTCCCACTGTGTGTGTGTGTATGTGTGTGCATGTGTCTGTCTCTCCTGCCTCTTTTTCTTAAAAATCAGGCAATGAAACAATTATTTTTCATGCATTAAATAAAACTAAATTGAATACATTTGCTAGTTATTTTAGTTCCACGTAAGTTTAACATGAAGGTAAAGGAAAATAGAATTTGGGATACCTACTGAGTTAATTTCCATATTTCTGTTAGATTTTGGTCTTATGCCTTCTAGCACTTTTTAAGAAACTGGGACAAAATAGTGAAATGCAGCATCCAAATGGAATATGGAGGTTTTGGATTTCCTAATGGAAAACTGAAATATATACTTTTTTCATACTTAGTGAATGCTCTTTCAATAGACAGAATATTATACTTTAGGCCATAAATGAAAGAAATTAAATACTGTATCAGCAAATGGTGAAAGGGAAAAAAACATACAGACATAAACATATTCTTACAAAGAAGCTTTTGGGTGGCCTGAAGGGGAAAAAAAAGCCCTCAATTAAAACCAAATGTTTAATGTGTATCCAAACTATAAAACTTACCTGTCAAAATTAACCCCACCCTTAGCCATTTGAAAAAAATTATCTAGCAAAGAAGAGAGCAATTAATTTCAGTTTCAAATCATGTGATAGAGGACTATCAAGTTGCTCCAACTTTTTACTCAACTTGGTGATTCTGTAATATCTCTGAACAGAAAAAAAATTGTTTTTTATTACAGTGGACATTTATTGTATGTCTATTGTATGCCATTACTATGAGAAGCACCAGAGAAACAAATATTCTTAAATCTCAGGCCTTTCATATAAGGGACTCAAAATCTAGCAAAGGAGAAAGGAGGTGGTGATGCAATTTACTTTCTAAATCAATGAGATTGATTGTAGTGTCTAATAGCAGTGGTTTTTTTTTTCATTTTCTTATGTTTATTGGGTTTTAATAAGATGTGGAAGAGATTATTTAATGAATAAATTATTTGAAAATGGAATTGCCCTCACAGTTAGTCTTAGATTATGCTTACATGCATGAGAGAACTGAGTGGATTTGTCACCTGAGCGAAGTCTCATTTACCTCTTTTCCAGAAATGCATTGTTAGCAGGAATACACTATGTATACACTTGTAGTGACCTATTTTATTGTTTATTCAGATTTTCAAGCTCTGTCCTTAACTCACATCAAAACCACTACTCTCTAAATTAAAGCTGCAAATCAAACTGCCTGAACCAAGTCTGCATCTGAGATTAGTGCTCAGATAGTTTGTATTCAAAGAATTTGTTACTGAGAGATGCATTATATTCCTCTTTTTTTCCCTTTGAAATCACCTTAACAGCAGCTCCATTCCAACTGATTTGGTGAGATGAATGCCATTTACACTTCAGTTTTCACCTTTTTAAAAATGCTCATAAGGGAATAAATCTACACTTTCCAAAATGATTGTGCATAAGGAAGTCTGGGGCTGCTAAGAGGAGGTGTTAGACACGTATGGGAATGTATTAGGTACAATCACACCTATATCTCAATGATTTCCTAAGTGATAGAGCTAAAACATACAGGGGAACTGAGAGAGTTGGCAAAGATTAATTATACTTGATTTTCCTCTCACTAATTACAAACGTCTAAAACTTTATAACTTCTATTGGCAGGGCATTTTGTTATAAACCTTTGTGGAAATAAATATGAGATATGCAATTAGTTATTAAACACATTTAATTTGCTAATTTGTATAAAAGAACATATGAGTTATGATGTCTTGGCATTAAAATATGAACACTAGTTTATATGAAAGTAGGTTATCTTGCTTTTTCAATAACATGATAAGACTCTTCAACCTTTGTAATAATCACATGGTTGTGCCATTTGCTTTCCTATAGTGATTTACAGTAAATTCCTCAAACAACAAGAAAAAAGAAATTGGTGAGCTCGAAAAACTATGTGCTACCAAAAACCAAGAATATAGGAGGGTAAAAAGAAATTGAATGAGTGGAATTCAGATTACTCATGGGTTGAAGTAGCCCTAAAAAAAAAGGAAAGCTAGCTGATGCTTACAGCAGGAAAAGAGAGACAAACACTGTCACCACCCTTATTATGGCCCAGGAAGGAAAAGTGTGTATTAAAAAAAAAAAAAAACCGGATTTGGAGATAGATAGATTTGGGTCAAAATTCTATCTCTACCATTTATTATTTGTGTAATCATAAAATACCTTCAGATTCATCATTTCTTTTATTTTTATTATTATAATTTAAGTTCTAGGGTACATGCGCACAATGTGCAGGTTTGATACATAGGTATACATGTGCCATGTTGGTTTGCTGCACCCATCAAACCGTCATCTACATTAGGTATTTCTCCTAATGCTATCCATCCCCCAGTCCCCCACCCCCCAAAAGACCCCGGTGTGTGATGTTCTCCGCCCTGTGTCCAAGTGATCTTTTTGTTCAATTCCCACCTATGAGTGAGAACATGCGGTGTTTGGTTTTCTGTCCTCGTGATAGTTTGCTCAGAATGATGGTTTCCAGCTTCATCTATGTCCTTGCAAACCCAAAGTACATGAACTCATCTTATTTTATGGCTGCATAGTATTCCATGGGGTATATGTGCCACATTTTCTTAATCCAGTCTATCATTGATGGACATCTGGTTTGGTTTCAAGTCTTTGCTATTGTGAATAGTGCCACAATAAACATAGGAGTGCATGTGTCTTTATAGTAGCATGATTTATAATCCTTTGGGTATATACCCAGTAAAGGGATTGCTGGGTCAAATGGTAATTCTAGCTCTAGATCCTTGAGGAATCGCCACACTGCCTTACACAATGGTTGAACTAATTTACGCTCCCACCAACAGTGTAAAAGCGTTCCTATTTCTACACATCCTCTCCAGCATCTGTTGTTTCCTGACTTTTTTAATGATTGCCATTCTAACTGGCTTGAGATGGTATCTCATTGTGGTTTTGATTTGCATTTCTCTGATGGCCAGTGATGATGAGCATTTTTTCATCTGTCTGTTGGCTGCATAGATGTCTTCTTTCGAGAAGTGCCTGTTCTATACTTCTGAAAGTGTATAGAAAGAAGTGCCTGTTCTATACATCAAAAAGTGCCCACTTTTTGATGGGGTTGCTTGTTTTTTTCTCATAAATTTGTTTGAGTTCTTTGTAGATTCTGGATATTAACCCTTTGTCAGATGGATAGATTGCAAAAATTTTCTCTCTTTCTGTAGGTTGCCTGTTCACTCTGATGGTGGTTTCTTTTGCTGTGCAGAAGCTCTTTAGTTTAATTATATCCCATTTGTCTATTTTGGCTTTTGTTGCCATTGCTTTTGGTGTTTTAGTCATGAAGTCCTTGCCCATGCCTATGTCCTGAATGGTATTGCCTAGGTTTTCTTCTAGAGTTTTTATGGTTTTAGGTCTAACATTTAAGTCTTTAATACATCTTGAATTAATTTTTGTGTAAGGTGTAAGGAAGGGATCCAGTTTCAGCTTTCTACACATGGCTAGCCAGTTTTCCCAGCACAATTTATTAAATAGGGAATCCTTTCCCCATTTATTGTTTCTGTCAGGTTGGTCAAAGATCAGATGGTTGTAGATGTGTGGTGTTATTCCTGAGGACTCTGTTCTGTTCCATTGGTCTATATCTCTGTTTTGGTAACAGTACCATGTTGTTTTGGTTACTGTAGACTTGTAGTATAGTTTGAAGTTAGGTAGTGTGATGCCTCCAGCTTTATTTTTTTGGCTTAGGATTGTCTTTCCAATGTGGGCTCTTTTTTGGTTCCATATGAACTTTAAAGTAGTTTTTTTCCAGTCCTGTGAAGACAGTCATTGGTAGCTTGATGGGGATGGCATTGAATCTATAAATTACTTTGGGCTGTATGGCCATTTTCACGATATCGATTCTTTCTATCCATGAACAAGGGATATTCTTCTATTTGTTTGTGTCCTCTTTTATTTCCTTGAGCAGTGGTTTGTAGTTCTCCTTGAAGAAGTCCTTCACATCCCTTGTAAGTTGGACTCCTAGGTATTTGATTCTCTTTGTAGGAATTGCGAATGGGAGTTCACTCATAATTTGGCTCTGTTTGTCTGTTAATGGTGTATAAGAATGCTTGTGATTCTTGCACATTGATTTTGTATCCTGAGACTTTGCTGAAGTTGCTTATCAGCTTAAGGAGATTTTGGGCTGAGACAATGGGGTTTTCTAAATAATCACGTCATCTGCAAACAGGGACAATTTGACTTCCTTTTTTCCTAATTGAATTCCCTTTATTTCTTTCCCTTGACTGATTGCCCCGGCCAAAACTTCCAACACTATGTTGAATAGGCGTGGTGAGAGTGGGCATCCCTGTCTTGTGCGAGTTTTCAAAGGGAATGCTTCCAGTTTTTGCCCATTCAGTATGATATTGGCTGTGGGTTTGTCATAAATATCTCTTATTATTTTGAGATATGTTCCATCAATATCTAGTTTATTGAGTGTTTTTAGCATGAAGGACTGTTGAATTTTTTCAAAGGTCTTTTCTGCATCTATTGAGATAATCATGTGGTTTTTCTTGTTGGTTCTGTTTATGTGATGGATTACATTTATTGATTTGCATATGTTGAACCAGCCTTGCATCTCAGGGATGAAGCTGACTTGATCATGGTGGATAAGCTTTTTGATGTGCTGCTGGATTCGGTTTGCCAGTATTTTATTGACGATTTTGGCATCGATGTTCATCATGGATATTGGCTTAAAATTCTCTCTCTCTCTTTTTTTTTTTTTTTTTTTTTTGTTGTTGTTGTTGTTGTTGTGTCTCTGACAGGCTTTGGTATCAGGATACCATTGGCCTCATAAAATGAGTTATGGAGGATTCCTTCTTTTTCTATTGATTGGAATAGTTTCAGAAGGAATGGTACCAGCTCCTCTTTGTACCTCTGGTAGAATTCAGCTGTGAATCTGTCTGGTCCTGGGCTTTTTTTGGTTGGTAGGCTATTAATTATTGCCTCAATTTCAGAGCTTGTTATTGGTGTGTTCAGAGATTCAACTTCTTCCTGGTGTAGTCTTGGGAGGGTGTATGTGTCCAGGAATTTATCCATTTCTTCTAGATTTTCTAGTTTATTTGCATAGAAGTGTTTATAGTATTATCTGATGGTAGTTTGTATTTCTGTGGGATTGGGGATGATATTCCCTTTATCATTTTTTATTGCATCTATTTTATTCTTCTCTGTTTTCTTCTTTATTAGTCTTGCTAGAGGTTTATCAATTGTGTTGATCTTTTCCAAAAACCAGCTCCTAGATTTATTGATTTTTTGAAGGGTTTTTTTGTGTCTCTCTCTTTCAGTTCTGCTCTGATCTTGGTTATTTCTTGCCTTCTGCTAGCTTTTGAATTTGTTTGCTCTTGCTTCTCTAGTTCTTTTAATCATGATATTAGAGTGTTGATTTTAGGTCTTTCCTGCTTTCTCTTGTGGGCATTTAGTGCTTTAAATTTCCCTCTATAAACTGCTTTAAATGTGTCCCAGAAATTCTGGTATATTGTGTCTTTGTTCTCATTGGTTTCAAAGAATATCTTTACTTCTGCCTCCCTTTCCTTATTTACCCAATAGTCATTCAGGAGCAAGTTGTTCAGTTTTCATGTAGTTGTGCAGTTTTGAGTGAGTTTCTTAATCTTGAGTAATACTTTGATTGCACTGCTGTCTAAGAGGCAGTTTGTTGTGATTTCTGTTCTTTTGCATTTGTTGAGGAGTGCTTTACTTCCAATTATGTCATCAATTTTAGAATAAGAGCAATGAGGTTCTGAGAAGAATGTATACTCTGTTGATTTGGGGTGGAGAGTTCTGTAGATGTCTATTAGGTCTGCTTGTTGCAGAGCTGAGTTCAGGTCCTGGATCTCCTTGTTAATTTTCTGTCTCGTTGATATGTCTAATATTGCCATTGGGATGTTAAAGTCTCCCATTATTATTGTATGGGAGTGTAAGTCTCTTGGTAGGTCTCTAAGGACTTGCTTTGTGAATCTGGGTGCTCCTGTATTGGGTGCATATATATGCAGGATAGTTAGCTCTTCTTGTTGAATTGATCCCTTTACCATTATGTAATGGCCTTCTTTGTCTCTTTTGATCTTTGTTGGTTTAAAGTCTGTTTCATCAGAGACTAGGATTGCAACCCCTGCCTTTTTTTTGTTTTCCATTTGCTTGGTAGATCTTCCTCCATCCCTTTATTTTGAGCCTATGTGTGTCCCTGCATGTGAGATAGGTCTCCTGAATACAGCACACTGATGGATCTTGACTCTTTATCCAATTTGCCAGTCTGTGTCTTTTAATTGGGGCATTTAGCCCATTAACTTTTAAGGTTAATATTGTTATGTGTGAATTTGATCCTGTCATTATGATGTTCGCTGGTTATTTTGCCCATTAATTGCGATTTCTTTATAGCATCAATGAGCTTTACAATTTTGCACGTTTTTGCAGTGGCTGGTACTGGTTGTTTCTTTCTATGTTCAGTGCTTCCTTCAGGAGCTCTTGTAAGGCAGGCCTGGTGATGACAAAATCTCTCAGCATTTGTTTGTCTGTAAAGGATTTGATTTCTCCTTCACTTATGAAGCTTAGTTTGGCTGGATATGCAATGCTGGGTTGAAAATTCTTTTCTTTAAGAATGTTGAATATTGGCCCCAACTCCCTTCTGGCTTGTAGGGTTTTTATTGAGAGATGAGCTGTTATTCTGATGGGCTTCGCTTTGTGGGTAACTCGACCATTCTTTCTGGCTGCCCTTGACACTTTTTCCTTCATTTCAGCCTTGGTGAATCTGACAATTATGTGTCTTGGGGTTGCTCTTCTCGAGGAGTATCTTTGTAGTGTTCTCTGTATTTCCTGAATTTGAATGTTGGCCTGCCTTGCTACACTGGGGACATTCTCCTGGATAATATCCTGAGGAGGAATATCTAACTTGGCTCCATTCTCCCTGTCACTTTCAGATACACCACTCAAATGTAGATTTGGTCTTTTCACATAGTCCCATATTTCTTGGAGGCTTTGTTCATTCCTTTTTACTCTTTTTTTCTCTAACCTTGTCTTCTCGCTTTATTTCGTTAATTTGATATTCAATCACTGATACCCTTTCTTCCGCTTGACTGAATGGGCCATTGATGTTTGTGCATGTGTCACAAAATTCTTGTGCTGTGGTTTTCAGCTCCATCAGGTCATTTAAGGCCTTCTCTACACTGTTTATTCTAGTTAGCCGTTCGTCTAATCTTTTTTCAAGGTTTTTAGCTTCCTTGCGATGGTTTAGAACATCCTCCTTTAGCTCGGAGAAGTTTGTTATTAACGACCTTCTGAAGCCTACTTCTGTCAACTCGTCAAAGTCATTCTCTGTCCAGCTTTGTTCCACTGCTGGCGAGAAGCTGCAACCCTTTGGAGGATAAGAGGTGCTCTGATTTTTAGAATTTTCAGCTTTTCTGCTCTGGTTTCTCCCCATCTTTGTGGTTTTATCTAACTTTGGTCTTTGATATTGGTGACCTACAGATGGGGTTTTGGTGTAGATGAACTTTTTGTTGATATTGATGCTATTCCTTTCTGTTTGTTAGTTTTCCTTCTAACAGTCAGGTCCTTCAGCTGCAGGTCTGTTGGAGTTTGCTGGAGTTCCACTTTTTGCCTGTGTATCACCAGCGGAGGCTGCAGAACAGCAAATATTGCAGAACAGCAAATATCGCTACCTGATCCTCCCTCTGAAACTTTGTCCCAGAGGGGCAGCCACCTATATGAGGTGTCTGTCAGCCGCTACTGGGAGGTGTCTCTCAGTTAGGCTACTTGGGGTTCAGGGACCCACTTGAGGAGGCAGTCTGTCTGTTCTCAGAGCTCAAAAGCCATGCTGGCAGAACCACTGCACTCTTCAGAGGTGTCAGACAGGGACGTTTAAGTCTGCAGAAGTTGTCTGCTGCCTTTTGTTCAGCTATGCCCTGCCCAAAGAGGTGGAGTCTAGAGGCAGTAGGCCTTGAGCTGCAGTGGGCTCTGCCCAGTTCGAGCTTCCAGGAGGCTCTGTTTACCTACTCAAGCCTCAGCAATGGCAGACGCCCCTTCCACAGCCAGCCCGCTGTCTGGCAGATCGATCTCAGATGGCTGCGCTAGCAGTGAGCAAGGCTCCATGGGTGTGGGAGCCACCAAGCCAGGCACAAGAGAGGATCACCTTGTCTGCCAGTTGCTAAGACCTTGGGAAAAGCATAGTATTTGTGTGGGAGTGTCCCATTTTTCCAGGTAGTCTCCCACAGCATCCCTTGGCTAGGAAAGGGAAATCCCCTGACCCCTTGTACTTCCCGGGCGAGGCAATGCCCCACCCTGCTTCAGCTTGTGCTCCACCCTCCCTGCACTGCACCCACCATCCAACCAGTCCCAGTGAGATGAACCAGGTACCTCAGGTGGAAATGCAGAAATCACCTGTCTTCTGCGTCAATCACACTGGGAGCTGCAGACTGGAGCTGTTCCTATTTGGCTGTCTTGGAACGCCCACCCAGATTCATCATTTCTAGAAATGGTACCTGCTGTATTAGATTGTCATAAAGGACGTAAATAATGAAACTCAGGTTTAGGAGGAAAACTAATGTAAAAGGCTGAGAAACGATAATGGAGATATAGAGGGACAACCAAAATGAAGTGTTATTACAGAAAGAAAGCGTCTTACTATGGTTATGGAATCAACAGGGATGAATGTTGCTCAAAGTTTCAGTAGAAAGAAAACGGAGAACTATCTTTAGTATTTGGCATAAGATGAGTGAAAAATGCCACAACATAAATGTGTTTGTAAAAATAAAGGCTGACAGAGGAGGAGCAATGGAACCATTGGAAAAGCTGCAGATGAAAAGGAGAGATGGAGGTCAGAGTAACGGAGTGGCTAAGGAGGTAGATGAAGATATGGTAGCATGATCAATGAGAACATCATCTGACCCCAAATGTTATTTTATTTAATCACTTTAGTCTGAATGTTCCATTAAGATATACCAACTTTTCATGAGTCATAAGCTCTGTTAAATAATCTAAAAACACGGTGTCAGTAATTATCCTATGAAAAACTTATGGAATTTCTTTGAATGTGCATTAATGATATGGAATCTACAAAGACACAATACACTTGGACAGTGATATGTTTAGCGTGGTAAGTTAATGATTTTTGTCATATTCATCTTAGTATTTACCATAGACCCTAAAATTATTTCTGAACATTAAAGGCACAAATTTTTAGTGAATAAATGGAGTTAGAAATAGGCAATAATGCAATTTTTATATGATGATGATAAAATAATTAATCTTCTCAAATCAGGCATAGTGGCACGTGCTGGTAATTCTAGCTACTCAGGAGGCTAAGGTGGGAGAATTGCTTGAGGCCAGAAATTTGAGGCTGCAGTAAACTATGAGGGTGCCACTTCACTTTAGCCTTGCCTGGGTGACAGAGCAGGATGCTGTCTCTAAAAAATAAAAAATAAATAAATAAATACAATATTTCCTTTTTAATTTTGAATACTTGTAAGCTAAGAAATCGTATAATCCCAAATAAAATAACATAGCTATGATGAATGTAAGGTTTACAAGGTAATTGAACAAGCTTCACTAATTTCTCTGTGTTTCTATAAGAAAAATATATAAAAGACTCTGAAAGGGTCATCTTGATGTAGGATTGATTATGATAGCAAACAATACACAAGGAAAATTACAATGAAATTTTGAATTCTTGTGGCAGGAAGTAATTTTGAACACAGTCTTGCCTGAAGAAGAACCTAAGATTATATTGGATAGAAAATTGGAAATAACTGTCCCAAATTTTTTCTCATGAAGCCATCATGACATTCCACCTGTGCAGCTTCCGTTGAATTCAAGGGAGACTCCCAATGGAGGAAGAATTGTGGCTTGGTGGAAAGGAAGGAACTCAGTCCTACATGAATGAGCTCCAAGAATGTTCTGAAAACATGTTTAAAAGCAAACTTTCAAAGTACCTACTATATGCCTTAGGGATAAGAGAATAGAGACTGCCAACTTTTAAAGTCAGTTTCTAAGAGTTTCGAGCTTTACAACAAACTTGAAGTGTAACACTTGAGACATCCTCATTTAATGGAAGGAAGAATGAAGAAACTCACAATTATTTTGGATCGCTTTTTTAAAGCTGTATTTTGATGATCTAACTTTAAATGGATTAGAAACATGCAGATTCAATTTTCTTTAGCAGGAAGCTACTTAAAAATCAAGGGTAAGTTGCTGGGCCAAAGTTAGCTTGGCACTAGACAGCCTAGAGTCTTTGAAAATAACCCTCAAATATTTGATGAACCCAATTGGCAGCCAAGTTCCCAGAAAAATATTGAGTAGATGGTGGTTACTCATGTAAGCTAAATCTCCTAGTGGATTTACAATGACTAGGACATTAACTGTGGGATATGTAAGGGAAGTAAGTGGTCAGAAGAAAGATAAATAGGACAAATATTCCTTTTCTTTATACTCAGTTCCTAATTGATTTTGTTCCCCATGCAATAAAGCACATGCGTAGTGTGTATATGCCTGTGTGTGTATGTCTGTGGGTGTGTGTATTTAAATCTGTGACTTTGAGTCTTCAGCATGGCGAGTCCTTATTTCACCATGCAGAGTACAGTACCCTGTATGTACCTTTTGACTCTCATTTATTGCTTTGCAATGTAAATTATAAAGGGCCAAAAAGTAATTTAGAGTTTTCTAAAAAATTATAAAACTTTTAATTGACTTTTGTTTTTTTCTTTGCATTGTAAAATATTCAAAATAAGATAGAAATCACATGTAGAAAGAACAAGCAACCACATAGGAGGTAAAATATCAAACTACTTTGTAATTTCTGCAGAATTTACCATGCCCATGTCCTCCTATTTAAGTTTTTTTATTTGTTAACTGGCTTCAGAGTCTTTAATATCTTCAAATGGCTTACACACTGTCTTCAGGGTAATTTTTCTACAGATTAATTTGTGTCCCCTATAAAATATTGTTCAACTGAATATATGGTTCTTTTCCCAACCAGTTCTCTACACATGTGTTCCAGCCTTGTGGAGTTACATTGCCTCAGTACCCCTGCAAATCATAGTCCCTTTTAAAAACATGACATCTTTTCTGTTGTATTGTTGACCTGTACTAATACAGGAGGTAGCTATGGTCTCTACGTTCTCCCTAAAGCATTGCTTGACCTTCCAGGCATAATAGGGAATCCCATCTCTGGGTTTCCAGCTTGTGCCCCTGCTCTTCCAATGATAAATGAGGGCAGGTCTTATATGTATCTCTGTATCTCAGCAGAGAAGAGATGACTAATCAGACAGCAGAATTTGTTCCCCCTCAGGCCAGGAATGGTGGCTCATGCCTGTAATCCCAGCACTTTGGGAGGCCAATGCAGGTGGATCACCTGAGGTCAGGAGTTCAAGACTAGCCTGGTCTACATGGTGAAACTTCGTCTCTACTAAAAATACAAAAATTAGCCGGGCATGGTGGCATATGCCTGTAGTCCAGCTACTCAGGAGGCTGAGGCAGGAGAATTGCTTGAACCCAAGAACTGGAAGTTGCTTTGAGTTGAGATCATGCCACGGCACTCCAGCCTGGGCAGCAACAGATTGAAACAGAAAAGAACTTGTTCCCCCTCTTCTATAGGATAGATTTGGTTTTTATAAGCAGCTACCCAAGCAGTATCTATATTTTCCCTGTTCCCTTGCATCTGAATGGGGTCTTGCCAGGAAAAAGTAGTATTTGTTACTTCCACCAGAACAAAGCAATTAATAAGCAACTTTACCTTGTCTATCCTTTTCTATTCCAACTTGTGATAGGAAGCATAATACTTTGAGGCCCTGGGTGAT
The DNA here is from genome assembly GCF_000001405.40 of Homo sapiens. Lineage (NCBI taxonomy): Eukaryota > Metazoa > Chordata > Mammalia > Primates > Hominidae > Homo > Homo sapiens. The sequence goes on along the minus strand of NC_000003.12, from coordinate 88,743,563 downwards.
GATGCATCCACAAGATGGGAGGATCCTGGGTCCCTGAGCCATCATGCAGTGGAAAGCTGTGTTCCAACCAGGAGCATCCACATTGGGGTGTTGCATGAGCCAGCATTAAAGTGGTGTTTTGTTAGAGTACTACCATTTAGAAATTTGTTTGTTACAGCACCTAGAATTACCCTACCTAGCATGCACAGAAACAGTAGGTAACTTCATAATTACTGAATGAGTCAATGAATAATTGAATAGGTTAGTGAGTAAATGTGTCCAGCTCTCCAAGAGCTCTCTTCTACTGAGTGCAAGAAATGTCAGCCTTAGAGCTTATTTCTTTTAGTTTTTCATGTCAAACATAAATGACCCTGAAGAGAAAGGCAGATCTGTTACCAAGTGTTGCCAACTGAAGGTGTTTGCTATGTTTTTTAAGGCTACTCAAAGCTTCCCATTTTCTTCATATTCCAGTACCTAATGCTGGGCCTTACCACTGCTACTAGCAACAAATATTTATTGAGCACTTGTGGTGTGCCAGGCACTGTTGTAAGCACTTCATATGTGTACACTCATTTAACCTTACAACAATCCTATGAAGAATAAAGTAGATAATGAAACTGAGGCACCAAAAGGTTAAGTAACTCCAGCAATCAGGCTCCAGAGATTACATTGCTTAATAAGTCTTAGTTAAATTGAATTTGCACTGCAGTGTAATCAGTGTTGGGACTGGAGCAGGGCACTAAAATGTTAGAATACTAGAGACAAGAAAGACAAATGTTGTGTAAGACACAGCCCTGACTAGGGTGGCAAATTGAGCCAGAGAGTTAAAAATAAACTTTTACTGAATAATATACTAGAGGTTTACCAGGGAATAAAAAAGGAAATATAAAATACATTAACTCTGTTTTCAAGCAGTATACAGTCTATTATTCTGGCTAGTGGGGCTCAGCATATTCCATTTCTGAAGAGATATGTATCACTGTGCCCTCCAGAATTCCTGGAAACAGAAGCACACTGTGGCTGTGTGCATGTCTGCAGAGGTCCCTTTGACAATAAATAAATAGAACAACAGGAATAATAGGAACCAAAATGTTTCCACTTCCTTAGTATTCAATACTTGTATGCCTTTATTTCAAGTTGAGTGAGAACCATTAGCTAGGAGGCTTAGTTCTCAAGAGCCTTAACCATATACAAATGAAACTCAGGTGGTTTCTTCTCCAGGGACTCAAAATCAAGTAAAGGAAAGAGGAGCAAGGCCAGCAGGTCTTGTGGTTTTCATTGTTTCATTTGGCTACACTTACAGCTCTTGGCTTGTTCCATACACTTATGGAAAGGCAAACCTCAAAGTTTTGGCTAGAACTTCATAAGTTGTTTGTGAAATTCCCAAAGACAGAAAAGTAAACCACAGAGCTTTGGGTGAAAAATCTAGCACTGTGTTTTTAATGGAAATTCTTATAATAACTATCCTCCTTTAAGTGTACGATTTCCACCCTCAAGATTCTTTGCTTTCCAGTATGCGTTTTAATATATTCTATTTTTTTCCTTTGAAAGAAGCTCTCAACAATAGCAGAATAAGAATTAAAACCTGAAAACCAGTATGAAATAGGAGCAAGCATCATTAAAAGAGCTTTCAAGTAAGAGATGAGGATTTTAGTCCCAATTTAGCCACTAAGAATATATTTTTAACTTTAATAGGTCACATGATCTTAGTTTCATGTATATGTTTTCCGTTTAATATGATTAAATTCCATTCTTTCAATTATAGTAAACTATTCAAGTTCCATTTTTATATCATTTTATAACTGCTTCTTCTACCTTAATACTCTCTTTAGTCTTTATCTCTATGTAGCAACTCACTGTAATTTTTATGGATTATGTCTTTGCATATGTATTGTATAGATGTCAGTGGCTATTCAAGAAAATAGAAGTCGGGCGCGGTGGCTCACGCCTGTAATCCCAGCACTTTGGGAGGCCGAGGCGGGCGGATCACGAGGTCAGGAGATCGAGACCATCCCGGCTAAAACGGTGAAACCCCGTCTCTACTAAAAATACAAAAAAAAATTAGCCGGGCGTAGTGGCGGGCGCCTGTAGTCCCAGCTACTTGGGAGGCTGAGGCAGGAGAATGGCGTGAACCCGGGAGGCGGAGCTTGCAGTGAGCCGAGATCCCGCCACTGCACTCCAGCCTGGGCGACAGAGCGAGACTCCGTCTCAAAAAAAAAAAAAAAAAAAAAAAAAGAAAATAGAAGTCCCTCTAGTGTTTCAAGCAGAGGGAATTTTATATAATGAAATTTCTTTATCATTGATAAGCCCAACGAACAACAGATGCCAAAGCAAACAGAGTTAGGTAACAGCAGGAAGTAAATTATTCAGTAAATTCCTTGGATCAGCACACCAAGTATGCCATATTTTACCTCCAAAATTAAAAGTGATGTATCATTCTGGAGAGTGTATCTCAACATGTCCCAGCTTCCTAGATGTTCAGACACATTACTTAAGTGGCAGGGAGCTAGAAGTGCGTGGTGTTTTTCTCTTTACCTCTGATGCCATGTATCTTCTTAAGACATCTGGAGCGCTTGCTCCTTGATGCTCCTCAGGAACAAACTGTATATTATCAATATAATTGACCTGTGTGACATTCCGTGGAATGTGCTGATAATTAAAGTCACTGAATGCTATATTAGGACAGAGAGCAGGCAAGATAACATAGCCCCACACTTCTCCTTTTTTTATAAACATTGATCACAATCAGAAACAGCTACAGTCTGTTGTAGGCACCACAGTTACCATGATGAATATGTGCAGCCATTACTTAACCTTCCAAACACTTGCTTTCCACCAGTGTTTCACCTCAAGCACCTATGCTCACAATGCTTTCGCTTGTCACAGATTACCATGATTTCAGTTTCCATCTGCGAAGAAGTTATCATTGTATTAAAGGTTAAGCAGATCAGCTTCCCAATCTCAGTATCCCATTTTAGGGTCTATTGCCTGAGACACTCCTAATATCTGATACTGCTAAAAAAAAAGTTAAGACAAACAAGATGGTGAAGCTAACCAGAGATTAGCAGAAGGAGACCATAAGGAAAGAAGACAGCAAGAGATCACAGAAACCCAATGGGCCGGAAGGACACTGGAGAAAAGTGATATTCACCAGAATCAAAACATCAGGGAAACCTTGCAGGTTCTAGAACCATGTCAGGAACTGCTCTGTAAGAGTTAGAGCCCCAGAATAGGACATGTCTGGTAAAAACTTGAAACAGTAGAGAATATATGGCAACTGCAAAAAAAAAACAACAACAACAACAACAACAACAAAAAATCCACAAAAAGAAGAGAGGAGAGGAGAAGAGAGAAAGAGGAAGAAGGTGGAGGGAAGGAGAAAGTAGTGGGGAAAGTAGTGGGGGGAGGGGGAGGGAGAAGAGGAAAAGGGAGGAGAGGAGAGAGATAATACTCTGATTCTCTTTGTCTTCCTCACCAGCTCCAACCAGAGCTTTCATTAGTCACACCTAATCAGAAAATAGCTCACAAGAGAACTACAGAAATGCAGCCTAAATGTGAAGAATGGAGAACAGATCTGAAAGCAAACGAGAAACACAATGGACTATATATATGTCAGTAAAATACACAACGCTGTTAGAAATTTGTGCACATGTACCCTAAAACTTAAAGTATAATAATAATAAAATTTAAAAAAAGAAATTTGTAAATTTACATAAATGTTATTGTGGTATAGATTATATTATTTTAACTACATCTATTGGCCTTGAAGATAGAAAGTGTCCCTGTTGCTGTACATACACAGCTATAATATATACCACGGTATGGAGCCGCTACAGTTTACATATTCATCTTTTCAGTGAGGGCTACCTACATTGTCTTCAGATCCCTGATGCCACAATCAATGCTGCAAAAAATGTCCTTAAAGAGCTTATTTTATGAACTCTATGACAATTTATGAAGAGCGGAATTTTCAAAGTTTGGGCTATATGAATTTTAATCTCATCAAGGATTACGGGTTTCTCCAGAATGACCATTCTAGTTTAAACGGTATCAAAATCAGGTACTTTTTGCTACATTCTCACCAGTAATAAGATTTTTGCTAATTTGAGCTTAAAGCACACACTCATTATTGTTTCAGTTGCATTGTTCTCCTTACTTATCAGAATTTCTCCAAATATCTATTATCTATTTAGAGTTTTTCTTCTGTATGTTGCTTAGTCAAATCTTTAAATATTTTTCCAATGTGTTTCCTGTTTTTGAATTTTGTCATTGTCTATGTTACAAATTCTTTTAGTATGATAGATATTAATACCTAGTGAGCTCAATTCATACAAAAGTCTTTTACAGTGATATTTATGAAAGGTTGATATTTGGTGAAATAGTAAACTCTTTTCGATGCAACAAAATCCAGTGGTTTTTAAATATGGTTTGTGTTCTTGGGTATTGTTATAGAAACATTTCTCTAACACAAGTGCACCCAAATATTCTTCTACATGCCCTTCTTAAAAAGTGATAGCTTTATTTTTACTTAATCCATCATAGTTCACCTTGTTTTATTTAAGAAATTAGCTCTCTTTTGCTCCGATCGCTGTATCAGTATTGCCCCACACCACATGCAAAACACTCCATCTATTCCCAAATGAGAGGCAATTGCACCCTGTGTCCCTACTTATACAGCACTCGAATTCTGGACTCTTTATTTTGCTTCATGTGTACATTTATCTTTCACTAGAACAGTATTACATGGTTTTAAAATGATACATTTATAGTGTGTTTTATAAATATCTGATAAGATGTATAATAACTCTTTGGCCTTTTTTTTTTGAGACAGAATCTTGCTTTGTCACCAGGCTGGAGTGCAGTGGCGCAATCTCAGCTTACTGCAACTTCCACCTCCCAGGTTCAAGCGATTCCCCTTCCTCAGCCTCCTGACTAGCTATGACTACAGGCACGCACCACCACGCCCACCTAATTTTTTGTATTTTAGTAGAGGCGGGGTTTCACCATGTTGGCCAGGATGGTCTTGATCTCCTGACCTTGTGATCCGCCCACCTCGGCCTCCCAAAGTGCTGGCATTACAGGTGTGAGCTACCGTGCCCAGCCAACTCTTTGGCTTTATAATTTTTATTTTTGGAAATCGATGAAGCTACTTATGGCTCTTTGTTCTCATACATAAATTTTATAGTAAGTTTTTTTAATTCTTAAAACCAAGTTGGAATATTTGTAAATACTTTCTTTCTATATTTCTCTATCATTTTGTCTTTAATCCAAGTGTTTACTTATATGGTTGTTTTGGGTTTCAGACATGATCTTATGTATATCAGAAAATGTAGCTTTATTGTCACAATTTTTTAAATGTTTTTTAATCAGTTTTTGTTAATATTCTATGCAGATTCTGCCCTGTTCCTGGGCAGAAGGAGACACACATCCCAACTCTGTCCTTTCTGCTCCAGGTGTCCTGATGGGGTTCCTCTCTGGCTGTTCCCTGCCCACACTTGTTCTCTTGTCACACCTCTCCCTACTGAGTCAACAAACTCTAGAGTCACAAGACCTTTTCTTCAGGGTTCCATGGGGCTGCAAGGCCAGGCCTACCTCCTCAGAAACTAGGGGGATAGGGATGCTCTCAGCCTTGGAGTCTGTGCACAGTGTCAGGCAGCTTTGGTTTTCTGCTGCCCTTGTAGGATTTACCAGCGTCAGTGGGACATTTACTGTATGCCAAGAATCATGTTCATTGCTTGATATGTATCAGTTCACTAAGCCTCACAGCACTCCTACAAGAGGGGAGCCATCACCATTCCTATTTTATTGATGAATTAGCAGAGGCACAGAGAGGTTAAGCAAATTGTCTAGGGGGCTCTGAGGCCAAGGAACACCAATCTTTGCTGACCACCCATTCAGCCCTTGGCACTGGGCATTTCCCACCTGCTCCCTGCCATCACCTTGAGTTTGCTCAGCCATTTGGCATGAGTAGGTATTTCCCTGTTGCCAGTAGATTGTGGCTCCAGGAATGATCAGGGTCCTGCCTACGAGGGGTAAACAGGGCCACAGGACAGGACTAGCAGGCCTCAAACTCTATGTTGCCCCTGTCCCAGGTTTCCTCTCTAGCCCAGAGTGAAGGCTTCTTGAACTCCCTAGAGTCCATTTATGGGGATGGGGGCAAGGGAGATAGGCCTAAGAGAGCACAATCTGGCTGCGGGAACCATAACTGCAAGGACTGAGAACAGAGAGCTCCAGAACAAGAGAGAGATAAGCTATTTCATCTTGCTTCCAGGCCCCACACTCTTACCTGCCCCACTTACTCATTCACGACACATATATCGACCACGTGCTCTGAACCAAGCTATCCTGAGTGACAAGGATTCAGTGGGAAGCAGAAAGATAAAGAAGAAAACCCTACTCGTTGGAGTGGACTCACCTGCTATAACTCTAGATACTGCCAAGACCAGGCCTAGGAAACGTATGCAGTGGGATGCCTTCCCACTTAGGGCAATCCCTGGTGCTCAGGGATGAAGCATGTGGAAAGGAACCATTGGGCTGCTGGGGGCTGTGAGACTAGAGACTGAAGTTTTGACTGCAGGCTACCACTACTCCAGTTGTTGCCATGGGGTAATGGAGGTCCAATGTCACCCAACACTTTGGATTTTCCAAACAAGCTTGGAATCTGGAATTTTACATAAAAGTATCAATTTGAACTAAGGGTTTACAGTCCCACCAACAGTGTAAAAGTGTTCCTATTTCTCCACATCCTCTCCAGCATCTGTTGTTTCCTTACTTTTTAAAGATCGCCATTCTAACTGGTGTGAGATGGTATCTCATTGTGGTTTTGATTTGCATTTCTCTGACGGCCAGTGATGATGAGCATTTCTTCATGTGTTTTTTGGCTGCATAAATGTCTTCTTTTGAGAAGTGTCTGTTCATATCCTTTGCCCACTTTTTGATGAGGTTGTTTGTTTTTTTCTTGTAAATTTGTTTGAGTTCATTGTAGATTCTGGATATTAGCCCTTTGCCAGATGAGTAGGTTGCAAAAATGTTCTCCCATTCTGTAGGTTGCCTGTTCACTCTGATGGTAGTTTCTTTTGCTGTGCAGAAGCTCTTTAGTTTAATTAGATTACACTGTTGGTGGGACTGTAAACTAGTTCAATCATTGTGGAAGTTGGTGTGGCGATTCCTCAGGGATCTAGAACTAGAAATACCATTTGACCCAGCCATTTCATTACTGGGTATATACCCAAAGGATTATAAATCATGCTGCTATAAAGACACATGAACACATATGTTTATTGGGGCACTATTCACAATAGCAAAGACTTGGAACCAACCCAAATGTCCAACAATGATAGACTGGATTCAGAAAATGTGGCACATATACACCATAGAATACTATGCAGCCATAAGGAATGATGAGTTCATGTCCTTTGTAAGCACATGGATGAAGTTGGAAACCATCATTCTTAGCAAACTATCGCAAGGACAAAAAACCAAACACCGCATGTTCTCACTCATAGGTGGGAATTGAACAATGAGAACACATGGACACAGGAAGAGGAACATCACACACCAGGGACTGTTGTGGGGTGGGGGGAGGGGGGAGGGATAGCTTTAGGAGATATACCTAATGTTAAATGGCGAGTTAATGGGTGCAGCACACCAACATGGCACATGTATACATATGTAACAAACCTGCACATTGTGCACATGTACCCTTAAACGTAAAGTATAATAATAATAATTTTAAAAAAGTATCAATTTGCTGTTGTTAATTTTTTTAATTCCCATAGGTTTTTGGGGAACAGGTGGTATTTGGTTACATGAGTAACTTCTTTAGTGATGATTTGTGAGATTTCGGTGCACACATCATCCGAGCAGTATACACTGAACTCAATTTTTAGTTCTTCATTCCTCACCCCCTTGCTACCCTTTCCCCCTGAATCCTCAAAGTCCATTATAACATTCTTATGCCTTTGCATCCTCTTAGCTTAGCTTCCACTTATGAATGAGAACATATGATGTTTGGTTTTCCATTTCTAAGTTACTTCACTCAGAATAGTAGTCTCCAATCCCATTCATTTGGCATTGCTGCAAATGCCATTAATTCATTCCTCTTTATGGCTGAGTAGTATATTACATCATATATATATATATATGTCACAGTTATATATATCATATATATTGCATATATATGATATATATAACAGTTTCTTTATCAATTAGTTGATTGATGGGCATTTGGGCTGGTTCCACATTTTTGCAATTGCGATTTATGCTGCTATAAACATACATATGTAAGTATCTTTTTTGTATAATGACTTCTTTTCCTCTGGGTAGACACCCAGTAGGGAGATTGCTGGATCAAATGGTAGTTCTACTTTTAGTTCTTTAAGACATATTCACACTGTTTTCCATAGTGTTATACTAGTTTACATTTCCACCAGCCGTGTAGAAGGGTACCCTTTTCATCACATACACACCAACATCTACTATTTTTTGATTTTTTGATTATGGCCATTCTTATGGGAATAAGGTGGTATTACAATTGTAGTTTTGATTTGCATTTCCCTGATCATTAGTGATGTTGAGCATTTTTAAATACGTTCGTTGTCTCAATTCAAAAGTGTTGGTCATTAATTCAAATACTTTAACACACCACCTCCAACAACAAAAATTCATATCCTCACTTTATAGTTGCTATGTGAATGTCAGATTGTAGCAGGTTTGGAATTCAGTGCTTTATCTAATAAATGTTTTCATTTGGGTGTATTCTGCTGAATAATTTCCTGGAGTGCAAATACATGTCTAAAACACAGCAACTTTTTGTGTAAGCCTTGAATTAGCACTTCTTGTATTATACAACCATAGAAACTGGTTAAAGGGCTAACTGCATGTTCAGATTATCAGTGGATTGGAAAACAAGCTTATAGGCTTAAGAGATGAAAGGAGGTCTTGCTTTATCATCTTCTCTCCATTCTCAAACACACAATTGCCTTCCAAATTTAAAAAATGCTACACATTAATACTCAATCTCAAAACAATAAATAAAGCACACTATCATATTAGAATGATAGCTTGAAGGAATTCAGTGAAGAAACTGGAAGATATTACATATAAAAACTTTCATGGTTGATAAAAAAAGTTAAATGAAATAATAAAATGAGAGCACCACGTGCACTCTGAGGAGCATACAAAGAAGGTTCTATAACAGTCAGTTAAGTCAGTGTTCAGATGAAGGCAGTTCTCTGCTCTTGTTTCAATGGTGCACTAAGTGAAAATAATGTACCTCTGTGTGTGTTTGTGTGTGTGTGTGTGTATGCATGCATATGCAGAATTTTCAACACTTTTATTATTTTTCTTAAAATAATGCTTTTAGGTTGCACTTTTCATCCTTTTATTTCAAAAAAGTCTTATTTTTCTGAAATAAATTATGGTTGTAACTATTTTTGGTAGTTCCTTTTTCTTTTCATAAAAAATGATTTTCCTACTTTGGCAAAGGAAAATGTGTTGGTCTCAAAAATTCTTTAGGATTTTATTGGTTCAGGAAATACAAAATTGTTAAAACCGCTGCTATTGAGCTTATTTCCTCTTCCTGTGTATATAACAGACCGCCTCCTTCTCCCGGATTAAACTAACTAAACTCTCAGCGATTCTAACCCCAGGCTGGGTGGAGATGTGAGAGAAACTCATCTAGGGTGATTGGTCTGATTTGATCAATCCCAATGATCACTTTACTTAATACCTATTGTCTATTGGGAAAAATGAACTTTTGACCTCTCTCTGAGCTGTTTCATTTCTCTGTGGCTTAGGGCTCCCTGAATTTCTTTTTAAGTTATTTTCTGGATTTATATTTAGTTCACATTCTCTTCAAAGAAAATAAATAATATAATAATTAAATTGTTCAATTCTTGAATGGAATTCTGAGAACAATCTATTTATTTTACACATTTCTTGACTGGAGCAAATGGTTCTGACAAACCTATTACCTAATCTCTTTCAAGGCAATGAGTTTCTCATTGATCTGCTAGGCTGCGAGCCCTGGAAAAGTGGAGTCATAAGTAATCACCTACCATGAAAATGAATCCACAGCACTAATTAAGGAAACTCACAATGAAAAATGGTAAACAAAGAGAGGATTATAAATTACTGTAGATTTCTACCTTTGCAAAGAATTTATAGGATGGTAAATAAAATGATGAATTCATTTAATAAATGAGTGTAAAAATATCTTCACATTTATGAGAATGACAAAAGCATTTACAATATTTTTTGAATGCTTGGCAAGGAACACTACAAATGGATTTAAAATATATTTGTATTTTCACAAAATCTAGCTTACATCACTTCATCCATTTTATATAGACTTTAGCACATCCACATGCAATCAGTTCATATTCTTTCTCTTTACCAGGTGTTGAATATCTTACTAAAGTAAAATAGGTCATTTTTTTGCTATGTATTATTTAATTTACTTATTTGGTTTTATTAAATGTTAAATCATATTAAGCACATCATAATAAAAATTTATGAAAAATTTAATATTTAGAAAGATAACTGATATGCAGATAAAATGTATTTCTTGCACTATATTCAAGCATGCTATACTTTCTGCATATGTATTTCTTCTCTATAATCATCCAAACCTTATTATATATATCATGGAAATGTCACTGATCTGATAAATATGGATCAATGAGCAGTTAAAAATATGACCTTTGAATAAAACAAGAAAAGGCAGAAGAACCAACATTTCCTGCTTGATTATTATATGCTAGGCATGCTGCTAGGGGACACACACACATACACACACACACACACACACACACACACACACACACAGAGTCATGCATTATTTAACAACCAGAATATGTTCTGAGAAATGCATCATTAGGTGATTTTATCATTGTGAGAATATTATAGAGTGTAGTTACACTAACCTAGATAATATAGCCTACTCCATACCTAGGCTATATTGTTTTTTGTTTTTTGTTTTTGTTTTTTTTTGTTGTTGTTGTTGTTCTTTTTTGGGGGGGTCGTTTTATTTTTTGAGATGGAGTTTCGCTCTTTTTTCAAGGCTGGAGTGGAATGGCACAATCTCAGCTCGCTGCAAACTCCACCTCCCCGGTTCAAGTGATTCTCCTACCTCAGGCTCCCAAGTAGATAGGATTACAGGCATGTGCCACCACGCCAGGCTAGTTTTGTGTTTTTTGTAGAGATGGGGTTTCACCGTGTTGGTCAGGCTGGTCTCAAATTCCTGACGTCAGGTGATCCGCCTGCCTATATCATTTAGCCTATTGCTCCTAGACTACAAACCTGTACAGCATGTTACATTTCTAAATACTGTAGGCGATTATAAAACAATTGTAAGTATTTATCTATCTAAATATTGCTTCTAGGCTACAAACCTGTATAGTATGTTACTTTACTAAATACTGTAGCCAATTATAAAACAATTGTAAGTATTTGTCTATCTAAACATTATCTAAAGATAGACAAGGCAATGCATTGTGTTTACATTGTGATGGCTACAGCATCACTAATTGATAGGCATTTTTCAGCTCCATTACAATCTTATGGGACTACCATCACTTAAGTGGCCTGTCCTTGACTAAAATGTCATTATGTGGCACATGACTCTGTGTCTGTATGTGTGTCTGTGTATGTGTGTATATAAATGTGTATAATCATAATCTCTTAAACTATCTTCATCATCTTCATTCATAGCCAAGAAGACCTATATGGAGAGATTTTTTAAATGCCTATGAAAACATATTTATTACTCTAGACAGGGAATTCAAACCCGGAGTCACTTTCCTGTCTTCTGCCTCCATCTATGATAAACTTGTGTCAGAGAGACTTCTGCCAAGAAACTGTTAAAGCTGGTTAAAATTAAAACAAACAAGGAAACAGCAGTTTGGGGGAATGTTGGAGCAGACAAGGAAGCCAGGATTTGAGAAGTCAAGATCTTGAGAAGAAAAATGCATTAAAGAAAATCCTACATTTTCCACTTTAAAAAAAAAAAAAAAACTTTGCACATTTGCAAATTCCTAGGGCAGGACAGAGAGAGTGAACAGAAAGCAGCATCATAGATATTTGGAGGGATTCATTAGGATTGAAAAGAAAAAATATAGAAGTTCTGGGTTACCATATGGCAACAGGAAATTGAGCAGCCAATTTAGGAGTAAAGGGAATCCCAGGAAATGAAGTAACATTTGCTGTACCTTTCACCTCAATTCTTTGCTGGTTCCTAATCTTTGCATGAAGGACTAAATACAAGAAATTCGGAGAAAAAATGGTTGATGAAGGCCACAAAACTAAACAGAGCTCTTAACAATTTTATAGTGTTAGAGTGACAAGAAATGGACCCTTCTGTCCAACTTAAAAGAAGAAACCTGAAAAATACTAGCCTTTTAGGTGAGATCACTGGAAATCTATCCTGCAGATTTGTCAGAACCAAGTAGAAGTAGACTGTCCCTGCCAAAACCTGGAACTAGCTTAGAAAAAATCTGACTTAAAATTGAATCAAGGTGATCTATCCATATGCCACATGGCTAACAAATGAATATTAAGTTTTCTCTGAACAAAGGTGATGAAATTCAGTCTCTACAACTTTTTACGCACAAAGATTACCACTCAATTAAAAATCACCAGGCATGACAGGATATAGGAACAGATGGTCAAAAACCAATAATAGACAATAGATCGAAACCACTAGTCATTAAGATTTTGAAGTTATCAGAAACAAACTTTACTATAACTTTAAGATGTTCAAAAGCATGACAAAGACGGAGGAAATGCTGAAAATTGTATCAGTGTTTAACATCTAAAAAGGGAGTAGATGAGTAATTTTGAACCAAAAAAGAAAATATCTGAAATGAAGCACTTAATAGATGTGTTTAACAGAAGAAGAATCATGACTAGAATACTGCTGAATAAAATTAAAAACATCATTTATTCCTCTTTTTTATACCATTACACTTGCTATTACTTCTACTGAGAAAGAAAAAGAGTTTCTCATGATTGATTCATTTTAGTGCCAGCATCAATATCGCCTTTTCAGAGAGGCTTCTCTAATCACCCTATTTACTAGGTCTCCTCCCTCTCTACCTGTCTAATACATCACACTTGCTTTGTTTCCTACAAAATACTTATTAGTGCAAAAAACCAAAACTATAGCTCATCAAAATAACAAATCTAAGAACTTGTATTTTCTGTGTAAGCTTAGGCAAGTTACTTAGCTGCTTTGAGTTCCTTTTTCACCAGCGTAATGATGATACTAAAGAACAAGTTAAACATTGTTAAGGAGTAAATTAGATAAGTTATATAAAACACCTAGCTCAATGCAAAGGCAGTTTTCATTTTATCAAAGGGTAAAACAACAACATGAAGTGTTGAGGCTATTTGGGAAAGTAACTAAAAACCCGTGGGCTAGATAATCTGAAAAGAGCTGTGACTAGTGAAAACTGTTAATGGATGTGATGTCAGATGTCGTGGTCCCAGTCCTCACATAACAGCTTACCTGTGTGGTGACATTGATCTGTCAGTTTCCAGGATTATAAACTGAGGATACTGTGTACACACCATAATACTGACATTGAAGAAAAATCAATGTAAACTTGGTATTATTAAATCTTCCCATAATATAAACCTTGGATTCACTGGCCATTCCATGATATATCAAACATTCCAGATATGTCATTGTCCAAATATGCAGCATCACTTCTCTTTGGAGGTATGACAACTTATATTTTGAAAATATTTCTCTGTTTTACTGCATCTTGGTCAAGTGGAAATAGGTACAGAAAGGAATTTTGTGTCTGGGAGTTCGCCAAAATCACATTGATTTTATAATTAAATGTTATTTCCTACATGAAGCATTTAATTCTCCGATGCTCAGGTATTGAAAATGATGCTGTGAAGTTAAAAAGAAGGTAAATCATCATTCACTTCCTTAAATAAAATATTATTGAGGTTGGCTTGAGATCAATAAGAAGATCATGTATGGAAAAAGTAGCATTTTTTTATTCACTGTTTTAAGCAAATATATGCAAAGCTAATTTTGCATTTTATAAGTCAGGAGTCAACAAGCTTTTTTAAAAGTAAGGTTTCTATTGGAACTAATCAACACTGCCTTTGTAGTGTGAAAGAAGCCATAGACAATATGTACATAAATGAGAAAGACTGTGTTCCAATAAAACTTTATTTACAAAAATAACCAGCCAACCCATGCGGCATAATTTGTCAATATCTGTTTTATGCGATTAAGAAATTGTCCTGATGGAACATGGAAAGTATAGACAAGGAAACACTTTGCCTTTTTAAGAAAAGCAACTTACACAAATCTATGACTTATAAGAAAGAAATATTCAAATAATCTGAATTCTAATTAAGAGAAAGTTTAGGCAGGGTACAGTGGCTCATGCCTGTAATTCCAGCAGTTTGGAAGCCAGAGGCAGAAGGAAGGCTCGAAGCCAGGAGTTCGAGACCAGCCTGTACAAGAAAGCAAGACTCCATCTCTACAAAAATATTTAAAAATAAACCGAACATGGTAGAATGCACCTGTAGTCCCAGCTACTCTGGAGGTTGAGACAGGAGTATTGTTTGAGCCTGGGAGTTCAAAGCTGCTGTGAGTTATCATTGTGCCACTGTACTCCAGCCGGGATGTCAGAGGGAGACCCTGTCTCAGACAGACAGAGACAGAGAGAGAGAGAGAAGGAGAGAAAGAAAGAGACAGAGACTTACCAACGGTACCTATAATCCATTCTTTTTTCCCCGAACATATAAACCTCCTGGTAGTGAGGTATAGCCATATGCCTGCATTTTAGCCAACAGAAATGGGCAAAAGTTTTAGAATGTGTGTAATTCCCACTCCTAGGCCATAAAAATTTCCCATGTATTACCCTTACTTACTTTCCCATCTGTCAGCCAGATGCACAGAATCAAGTAAAAGACTGAGTCTCTGAGGGATGGATTGAACCTGAGAAAAAGACTATGAGAAATAAAACTCATAGCCCCCTTCCTGCCACCAACCAAACCCTGTATGAGTGACTATTAACTTCCATTTTGTTGATTCACTGAAATACAGGAACTGACATTTTACCAACTAGCATTAACTATCATAAAACATAAATTGGTATGAGAATACCTAATGTGTAGCATTGATTTATTGGTTGTCAGATGGTGGTGAGGACACAGCTATGACTGGGCCTTATGCCTGGAGCCCTCTGCTCCACCATGGAAAAGACTTATAAAATGGATGCCTGAAATACGTTAGAAGTAAGACCGTGTGAGAACTGGACCTGTGATTTTAGAGGAAGTGGCTGGAAAGAATCAGAATGTATATTGGTTACTATTGGCTGCATCTAGCAAAGCACTGCAAGAGACAGACAAGCTCAGATAATTATTGGCTGGCTTTTATGGTCAGGTCAAGAGTTCATAGTTTGGAAAAGATGATGGTTGGGCGTCAAGCTGTAGATAAAACTGAAAAAAATTTCCTTAGTGCCAAAAGCCCAGTAAGATTTCCCAACTGATCCAAGTACTGAGTCTTACAGCGAGGATCAGATTATCAGGTTTGACCTTCCCACCCAAGAAGACATTTTCTAATAACTTTACATTGTCTGCCATTAAAAGGGGAGAAATGAAGGAAGGGAGAAAGGAGCAAAGAAAAAGAGAGAAAGAAATGAAAGATGAGAATGAAAGAAAGAATGCTTAAGAATTATGTCTAGGCAGGGCATGGTGGCTCACACCTGTAATCTCAGAACTTTGGGAGGCCTAGGCAACAGATCACTTAAAGTCAGGAATTTGAAATCAGCCTGGCAGACATGGTGAAACCATGTCTCTACTACTCGGGAGGCTGAGGCAGTAGAATCATTTCAGTTCAGGAGGCAGCGGAGGTTGTAATGAGCTGAGATCATGCCACTGCACTTCAGCCTGGGCAACAGAGTGAGACTGTGTCTCAAAAAATAAATAAGTAAATAAAAAGAATTATGTCTAGAAAAAAACTTTGGATATGATTACTGGCACATAAAACTGGAAGGCAGGAAATAAAAGTCTCCTAAGTTTTGAGGAAGTTTTATTTCCAAAGAAACCACAACCTGGACTAAAGACTATTTTAGTGTCCAAGCCTTTAAAAACAACCTTTGTCCCCAAAGGTAGTAAGGAGAAAGATCTACAGTTACCAAAGGTGACAGAGATGAATAAAAAAGAACCTCCCAGTAAGTAGAGCCAGCCTTTGGAAAACATCTCCCAGACAGCAGAATCCAGATTTCGATTTGTTTCTCATTTCTCTCTTTTCCATTTTATACCACAAAAGTATGAAAGGGACTCAATTAGAAAAAATAATTTTAATTATTACTAAATATACAAAAATATAATATTTATACAACAACATTGTGAGTATGCATGCACAGATATGTGCATACATACATACATCTACATATATAAATAGATTTTTTTAGTAAGTATATGCCTGCAGTTTCTGCAGTTCATAGTTCATGATCCTAATTTCAACAAATGTAGCAAATGCACCAGGTGTATATCCCGGTCATTGGCAAATGCCAAGTGAAATCTCTTGGCCCGGCACATTCTCTGGCAGTCTTCTCCACAGGGCATTATGCAAGTCTTCCATTTTTGTCAGTGTTTCGTAGGGTAAGAAGAGCAAACCTTCAAAGTGTATTCATCAAAATCAGGTAAGCATTGGCATCAGTTATGCTTTTTCACTCCTAGTACATAATTACCTTCTCAGTGACAGATGAGTTTTGCAAAAAACTTTTTTATGAAGACTAGATTGTAATATTTTAAATATGAAGACTATATTGTAATATTTTCAATCTAGTCTTCATAAAAATATATTGAATTAAAATGTTTACAAATAGAAGCAAAAATATGTCAATATTTTATTTCCTTATGAATAATAGGAAAAATAAAATCTGACCTAATGTAGAAAAATGAATATATTTAATCTCACCTACTGAATTTTAATGCAGTACATTTATATTACCGATTACCCAAACATAAAATATATTTTAATTCCTTTATAGTGACTGAACATTTTGGATAATTAAAAGTTAATGACCTGAAAAAGTAGAAGAAACCTGAGTAAGTATACTATTTACTTTTATCCCTGTTTAGATTGTATAATTGAAATGACTTAGCTTTACTATCATTTACTGCAAAAATCATGATTTTTATTCTTCAGAATTCTTGTATTTAAACCCCAGATTATTGGAAAGCCATAGGTGTCATACAGCATATATTTTAGTGCTGCGGATATTGAAAATAATTGCAAAAGGCTGATGTATTTCTAGAAAATTTTATTATAAAATGTATCTATACTTTCATGCCATTTGCAAATACAAATGCAAAGAAAATATCTTCAAATCTGTCCCTAAAAAAGAAAACAACAACTGATCCTGAGGGTTTTGTCTTTGCATATAGAGTTGTGCTTTATTTATTTAGATATTTTACCAAACAAATAAGCCAATCCAAATGATTAAGTAGTGTTGGAATGAAAACTAAGATTTAATCCACAAAAGCATATACTTAATATTTACCAGTTGCATTGAGTCAGAATACTCTAGAATGTGATTCACAGCAGTGACCAACATCGTCTCTTAGAGATTTGGGCCGAAAACTCTCTGGAGCTTGTCCAGAATTTACTTTCTCTCTTCTTCATTTATTCCTTTAGTCATGGTTTGATGAACTTGAAAGCAAAAGATGGCTAAGTGGCCATGAAAATAAGGTAGACTTAATTTTTTAGTCTCAACATTTTAGGTGGCTTTAAAATGTCACCACATTTGAAAAGGCAAATGAGAAAAAATAAAAACATCACCATGTGAAGACTTCAAGCTTATTTCATACAACAGATGACAAAGGCTAATGAAAGAAAGGAAAGCTTTCTGAATACAATGCAATGAGAAAGGCAGAAGCAAGGGTAAATGCATACTTACCTTAGATGTCATATGACAGTGCACTGAGATCTTTGACAGGTGATAAAGACACAACTTGGCACAATCAGCACTTATTTTTGGCACCTACAAAAGAGGTAGTGAAGCAGAAAAATCCCTCCAAGAATTAATCTGCAGCTGCATAATTGCAATGCTTTATCATCTGTAGGCTGTGACACAAAACACATTCAGGTATATGCAAGTTCCTTAAATAGTGGACCATCAGAATAAATGTTTAACAATTGAGGTATTAATAAATAAAAAATGTATGTAAAAATAGGTACAGATTTCCCCATGTATTTTAGTTTTACCTTTAATAGATTTAAGAATAAAAATGAATTTGCTAGAAGAATATCTTCAAGAAATTTCATTGCATGCAACCCAAAATAATTTCATAATTTTCAGTAGCCCAACTTGTGTTCCAACAGGATTTACTGCCATTTGAAGAGTCTGTGTGCCCAATTCAAGTCACTGGTAAAGCCACTGTTTGAAACACAGGTGTGGATCCCAAGCCATGGGTATCAGTCACTGTTGTTGTGACTAATTAGATATGGTCTCTATTTTCCAATTTAGTTGAATACATGTATGGGATAGCCTACCTACAGTGCTGCCCTGCATGCATTAAAGCTTGTCATTATTTCAGGAGAAATAATCAAATTATTTTCTGTTGACAATAACACTTGGCCTAGTTTTAACCAAGCAGTTTGATGTTTCAACTTGATATCAAGTAACAGTTTTAAGAAAATGAGAAATATGGTAATTACATTTAGTAGGAATTTATAGAATAACAAATACATAGTAAATTGCTATTTAAAGAAGTGCAAAGAATATGGGATTTGTATTTTTATATTATATTTAATCATGTTTCACTAAAAGTAATTTCCTTTTGCAAAACCTAATCAAGTGTTTTATCCTTTCTTTTTTCTTTCCTTTTTTTTTTTTTTAGTGAATCACTGTTTTAGGTGACATGACAATCTCTATGTCTCAGGATAAAATCCAATAACTAATTCATATACAGTTGTCCACTCACGTATTTTAAACGTGGTGATAAATCCTGGAGGTTCTGCTACACTGGATTTTTCTGAAAATCATGTAAAAAGATCAAATTATTTAACAACTGATATTCAAGAGAATAAATGTGTAAAGATATGTCTTCATCTACAATATTCTTTAAGTTACCCCACTTCTATAAATATTCCCAAATTACTTTGTTTTGTTTTTTCTAAGCAAACCACAACAACTCAAAAAGTATCTCATGCAAAGCTGTCTAATTCCTTGGACTTGCATTGTAGGGTTTGTGTGAGGACTATGAACTGAGCCAAAAATGCAGGATAAAATCTCACATTTCCTCATATGTGAGTCTTACCCAAATCAATTGAAGCCACTCAAGGGTAATCAAGTGTACAACTGGAGTTAATAATTTTCATTTAGTTGTAATATCATTGCTTTCTGAATGTTGGCTTCTTGCCTTGTACATTATGTATTTCTGCTACGGTTAGCTTGCTTAAAATCATAAATTTGAGTCGTTTGTAACTGAATATCATAATTAGAAAATATTCACTTCTCATCCTCATCTTGACCTGGTGTCTGACTTCTAATGTTCATCCTTCATCTGTCTTCCCAACTAACTAGAACCATGTTTTGAATAAAATTCACAACCACCCTAAGATTCTTCATCTCTGACCTCTGTCTCTTCACCAAACCTTTAAGAAGCACCAACAGCCTCTTCCTCCCCAGTAGCCAACTGCTGAGTTTTATTGAAGCAAATTATACTTTAAACAAATTGGGCCTTCCAGAAATTCATGCTGTATAACCAACAGTACATCCTGACACTCTTAAGGGCAAAATTTAAGGTTGTCTTGTTTATATTTCTTCACTATTTTAGTCCCCGTGCCTAGGATAGAAAACCCTACTTGGTAGAGGCTTAGTAAATATTTGATAAACAAATAAATTGTAACTGTTCAAATCATGTCCAATTTTTTTTTATTCCCACTACCCTTCACTCTCAAGATTGTTCATTATGTGCTCCCATTTCTTTCTCTCTTTTTTTAAAGCATTAACATTTTTGTAATGAGAGAAGTAAGGATTATTCCTGTGCAATAATTTTCCATTTTTCAACACACCCTCTACTTGTACACATACCTTTACATTTTCTCTCTCTATCTCTGGTCTCTTAAGAGAGGCAAAAGTCTGAGACCGTGTTCTGCTATTTTATTCCATGTTGTCTTCACTTTCATTTATTTCCCTCCTCACTCTTAAGTCCATAGAAAGAGATGACGATAAGAAATACAATGGAATTTTAAAGTCATCTGGTCCATCTTTCTTACTTAATCAATGAAATAACCAAGGCAGAGGATAAAGTGGCATTTTAGAAGTCACAGACAAAATAGTTGCAAAATCAAGATTATAAGATGTATTCCAGGCACATGTTCTAGCTTCTTTTTTCTTTTTTCTTTTTATTTTTTTATTTATTTTTATTTTTTAAATTTTATTATTATTATACTTTAAGTTTTAGGGTACATGTGCACAATGTACAGGTCAGTTACATATGTATACATGTGCCATGCCTGTGTGCTGCACCCATTAACTCGTCATCTAGCATTAGGTATATCTCCCAAAGCTATCCCTCCCCCCTCCCCCCTCCTCCCACCCCACAACAGTCCCCAGAGTGTGATGTTCTCCTTCCTGTGTCCATGTGTTCTCATTGTTCAATTCCCACCTATGAGTGAGAACATGCGGTGTTTGGTTTTTTGTCTTTGCATAGTTTACTGAGAATGACAGTTTCCAATTTCATCCATGTCCCTACAAAGGACATGAAATCATAATTTTTTATGGCTGCATAGTATTCCATGGTGTATGTGTGCCACATTTTCTGAATCCAGTCTATCATTGTTGGACATTTAGGTTGGTTCCAAGTCTTTGCTATTGTGAATAGTGCCGCAATAAACATACGTGTGCATGTGTCTTATAGCAGCATGATTTATAATCCTTTGGGTATGTACCCAGTAATGGGATTGCTGGGTCAAATGGTATTTCTAGTTCTAGATCCCTGAGGAATCGCCACACTGACTTCCACAATGGTTGAACTAGTTTACAGTCCCACCAACAGTGCAAAAGTGTTCCTATTTCTCCACATCCTCTCCAGCACCTGTTGTTTCCTGACTTTTTAATGATTGCTATTCTAACTGGTGTGAGATGGTATCTCATTGTGGTTTTGATTTGCATTTCTCTGATGGCCAGTGATGGCGAGCATTTTTTCACGTCTTTTTTGGCTGCATAAATGTCTTCTTTTGAGAAGTGTCTGTTCATGTCCTTTGCCCACTTTTTGATGGGGTTGTTTGTCTTTTTCTTGTAAATTTGTTTGGAGCTCATTGTAGATTCTGGATATTAGCATTCACAATTGCTTCCAAGAGAATAAAATACCTAGGAATCCACCTTACAAGGGACGTGAAGGACCTCTTCAAGGAGAACTACAAACCACTGCTCAATGAAATAAAAGAGGATACAAACAAATGGAAGAACATTCCATGCTCATGGATAGGAAGAATCAATAATGTGAAAATGGCCATACTGCTCAAGGTAATTTATAGATTCAATGCCATCCCCATCGAGCTACCAATGACTTTCTTCACAGAATTGGAAAAAACTACTTTAAAGTTCATATGGAACCAAAAAAGAGCCCACATCACCAAGTCAATCCTAAGCCAAAAGAACAAAGCTGGAGGCATCACGCTACCTGACTTTAAACTATACTACAAAGCTACAGTAACCAAAACAGCATGGTACTGGTACCAAAACTGAGATATAGATCAATTGAACAGAACAGAGCCCTCAGAAATAATGCCGCATATCTACAACTATCTGATCTTTGACAAACCTGAGAAAAACAAGAAATGGGGAAAGGATTCCCTATTTAATAAATGGTGCTGGGAAAACTGGCTAGCCATATGTAGAAAGCTGAAACTGGATCCCTTCCTTACACCTTACACAAAAATTAATTCAAGATGGATTAAAGACTTAAACGTTAGACCTAAAACCATAAAAAGCCTAGAAGAAAACCTAGGCATTACCATTCAGGACATAGGCATGGGCAAGGACTTCATGTCTAAAACACCAAAAGCAATGGCAACAAAAGCCAAAATTGACAAATGGGATCTAATTAAACTAAAGAGCTTCTGCACAGCAAAAGAAACTACCATCAGAGTGAACAGGCAACCTACAAAATGGGAGAAAATTTTCGCAACCTACTCATCTAGCTTTTTTTTTACTTTGCCACTATGATTGTCTCCTTTTCCCTCTCCCACTTTCTCTTTTGTTTTTTGTGTGTGTGTGTTGAAGAAACATCTCGTGAAATCTAAAACAGACAAAAAGAAGCAATATTTAAACACAGCATCAAAGAATAGAGAAGCATTTATCTAGGTGAAGGCAGAAAACAGCTTACATGAAAGCAAGCACTTCTGAAACCCTGAAAACCTGGAAATTTAGAAACTATAAAGACTGCATGGTAGAAGAGATAGAAAGAAATGAAGCACCCAAATTTTAAAGTCCTTTTATGTCATGCTAAGAAATTGACATTTTTTGTTGAAGACATTAGACAACCATTAAAATCTAGTAAGGTAGTAACAGGATCATATTCTTTGTTTTAGATGTCCTTTATTTAGATGTTTTATTATTGTCACAGATGCCCTTGAGAGCTGTGGAAAAGAAGAACTGGAGTAGAGATTGCTTATACATATATACATAAAACTTATCTATGTTTACAGGTTCCTTGGTGCTATTTTAGAAGGTGATCACAATTATAATTATCTTGAAATAAGCTTAAGAACTTAAAAATTGTTTTCTTTATTAAAAACATTTAAATATTTTAAGTACATTTTCTTTTTTAAATTATTGAGCGATTTAATAAATTATAGATAATGATGCTGAGACAATTAGAAGATTGTGTAAAAAATTAATATTTTTCTCCTTTGCTAACATTAAAAATAATCTAGCTTTGTGCAGATATAATAATATATAAATTTATTTTTAAACAGTTCAAGTAAACTGATCCATTTTCTTCCGTGTTGTGAAGCAAAAGTTTGCTAATATTTCTCTCTTGTTATAAGATGACTTTGCTTCTAAAGAGTCTTTATGTGACTTCATTTCTGAGGAACTCCTCTGATGCCAAATCCTAAATTAATCTCTTGCCCTCTTCTTCAAATTTTCAGTCTCTTCTAAGAAGTAAAGTGTGAAGAATTTTACATTTTTTTAAAGACTGATCTAAGCTAAATTCTGTTCTCACTCAGAAAAAACTCTCATCTATGATGCCAATTTAATATCATATGAGAACTCACACGTACTCAAAATTTGCCTTTGTACTAGCCTCTAGTCCTCAAATTCACAAGTGTCATATCTCACTCTCAAATGTGACTGCACATCAAAATCATTGACATAGATTTCTGGGCCTCAGGAAAGAGTAAGTAAGCCAGAATCTCCCTGAGTGTAGCAAGGAAATGTGGATATTTAACAATGAAGGAAGCTATAGCCTATGTTGGGGACAGGTATCCCGTCTCTCTCTCCCTACAGTCTCAGAGCAGGGAATGGAGGTGACCATCCCCATGCTGGGTTGACAGTACCATGGCTCCCTAGGCTGCTGCCTCTCATCCATACCCTAACCAATACCTAAGCAAGAGGTTGCTCAACCTCTGTGGATTTGGGTGGCAGGCCAAGAGAAACAGAAACTAGTTCTCTACCTAATTCCCCTGCTTCAGAACACTGAGTTCAGGAGACAGAGCCCTAGGACAATTACAAACATTTGCACTCATCAGGTGAGTGTCACCGGGGTAGAGGATGCAGGCATTAAATTGCAAGAAAAAAAAATACCATGACAGATCTAGAGAGAGACTAAAAAAAAAAAAGAAAAAATATATTTTAGTCCTTTCTTCTTTTTTTTTAATGTGGTAAAATACATATAAAATTTACCACTTTGATGATTTTTAAGTGTATTATGGTTCAGTGGTATTAAATACATGTCTGATGTTGTGCAATCATGACCATCATCCATCTGCAGAACTCTTTTCGTCTCCTCAAACTGAAGCTACATTCCCATTAAACAATTACTCTCTATTTCCCCCTCCCGCCAGATGCTGCAACCACTGTTTTTTCTGTCTCCGTGATTTTGAATGTTCTAAGTACCTCATATAAATGGAATCATACAGTATATGTCTTTTTGTTACTGCCTTATTTCATTTAAGCATAATTTCCTCAAGTTTCATCCATGTTGTAGCATATATTAGAATTTCCTTCCTTTTTAAAGTTGAATATTTCATTGTATGTATATAACACGTTTTGCTTGTCTGTTAATCCATGGATGGAAACTTGGTTTGTTTCTACATTTTAGCTATTGTGAATATATGCTGCTATGAACATGGGTGTACAAATATCTCTTCAAGATTTTGGTTTCTATTCTGTTGGGTATATATCCAGAAGTGGAAATGCTGGATCATATGAAAATTCTATTTTTAATTTTTTGATGAACTGCCATACTGTTCTGATGAACTGTTTTACACAGTGGCTGTACCATTTTACATTCCCACCAATAGCGCAGAATGGTTCCAATTTCCCCTAATTCTTTTTATTTTTATTCTTTTTGTGGGTACATAGTAGGTATATATATTTATAGAAGACATGACATGTTTTGATACAGGCATCCAATGTAAAATAGGCACATCATAGAGAAAGGAATATCCATCTCCTCAAGCATTTGTCCTTTGAGTTGCAGACAACCCAATTACACTCTTTATGTTATTGTAAAACATACAATTAACTTATCATGGACTATAGTCTCCTACTGTGCTATCAAATAATGTCTTATTCATTCTTTCTATTTTTTTAACCCGTTAACCATCCCCACTTCCTCTCAGCCTCCTATTACCCTCGCCAGCTGGTAACCATCCTTCTACTCTCTATGTCCATGAGTTCAATTGTTTTGACTTTAGATCTCACAAGCAAGTGAGAACATCTGATGTTTCTCTTTCTGTGCATGGCTTATTTTACTTAATAATCTCCACTTCCCTCCACGTTATTGCAAATGACTGGATCTCATTCTTTTTATGACTGAATAGTACTCCATTGTATATATGTACCATATTTTCTTTATCCATTCATCTGTTGATGGACACTTAGGTTGCCTCCAAATCTTACCTACTGTAAACAGTGCTACAAAAACACAGGAGTACAGATATCTCTTCAGTATATTGAATTCCTTTTTCAGGGGTATATACCCAGCAGCGGAACTGCTGGATCACACAGTAGCTCAATTTTTAGTTTTTTAAAAAACCTCCAAACTCTTCTGCCTAGTGGTTTTACCAATTTACATTTCTACCAGCAGTACACAAGGGTTTCCTTTTCTCCACATCCTCACCAGCATTTGTTATTGCCTGTCTTTTGAAGAAAAGCCATTTTAACTGGAGTGAGATTATATCTCATTGCAGGTTTGACCAGCATTTCTCTGATGATCAGTGATGTTGAGCACCTCTTCATATGCCTGTTTACTATTTGTATGTCCTCTTTTGAGAAATGTCTATTCACATCTTTTGCCCATCTTTTGATCAGATTATTAGATTTTTTTCCTATTGAGTTGTTTGAGCTCCTTATATATTCTGGTTTTAATCCCTTCTCAGATGGGTATTTTGCAAATATTTTCTCCCATTCTGGTAGGGGTTATCTCTTCATCTTGCTGATGATATCCCAAGCTGTGCAGAAACTTTTTAACTTAATGTGATCTCATTTGTCAATTTCTTCTTCTTTTGGTTGCCTGTGCTTGTGGGGTACTGGTCAAATAACCTTTGCCCTGACAAATGTCCTAGAGTGTTTCTCCAATGTTTTCAATCTCTGCTTAGTAGTTTTATGTTTGAGGTCATAGATTTGAGTCTTTATTCCATTTTGATTTGATTTTTGTATATGGTGAGAGATGGGTTCTAACTTCATTCTTCTGCATATGGATGTCCAGTTTTTCCAGTACTATTTATTGAAGAGACTGTCTTTTCCCTAGTGTATGTTATTGGCACCTTTGTTGAAAGTGAGTAAATTGTAGGTGTTTAGATTTGATTCTGGGTTCTCTATTCTGTTCTATTTGGTCTATGGGTCTATTCTTATGCTGGTACCAAGCTGCATTGGTTACTATAGCTCTATAGTATAATTTGAAGTCAGATAATGTGATTCCTTCAGTTTCATTCTTTTTGTTTAGGATAGCTTTGACTACTCTAGGTCTTCTCTGGTTCCACATAAATTTTAGGATATTTTTCTATTTCCGTAAAGAATGCCATTGATATTTTGATGGGGATTGCATTCAATCTGTAGACTGCTTTGGGTAGCATGAACACTTTAACTATATTGATTCTTCCAACCCACAAACATGGAATATTTTTCCATTTTTTGGTGTCATTTTTAATTTCTTTCATCAGTGTTTTATAGTTTTATTATAGACATCTTTCACTTTGGTGAATTCCTAGGTATTTTATGCGTGGTCATTGTAAATGGAATTTTTTATTTCTTTTTCACATTGTTCATTTATGACATATAGAAATGCTACTGCTTTTTTATGTTGATTTTGTATCCTGACAATTTACTGAAATTGTTTATCAATTCTATTAGTTTTCTTGTGGATTCTTTAGGTTTTTCCAAATATTAGATCATAGCATCTAAAAAGGACAACTTGACTTCCTCCATTTCCAATTTGGATGCCCTTTATTTATTATTTCACTTGTCTGATTGCTCTAGCTAGGACTTCTGGTATTATGTATTATGTTGAATAACAGTGGTGACACTGGGCATCCTTGGTGTGTTCCAGACCTTAGAGAAAAGACCTTAAGTTTTTCCCATACATTATGATACTAGCTGTGGGTCTGTCATTTATGGCTTTTATTACGTTGAGGTATGTTCCTTCTATACCTAGTTTTGGGTTTTTTTCATGAACGGATGTTGAATTTTACCAAATGCTTTGTCAGCATCAACTAAAATGATCATATGTTTTTTATCCTTCATTCTGTTGATATAATGTCTCACACTGATTGATTTGCATATGATGAACCATCCTTGCATCCCAGGGATAAATCCCACTTGGTCATGATGAATGCTCTTTCTCATGTGTTGAATTTGGTTTTCTAGTATTTTGTTGATGATTTCTGCATCAATATTCATCAGAGACATCAGCTTGTAGTTTTCTTTTTTGATGTGTTTGGTTTGGGTTTTGTATCATGGTAATACTGGTAATACTGGCCTCATAGGTTGAATTTGGAGGTATTTCCTCCTCGTCTAATCTTTGGAATCATTTTAATAGGATTTGTATTAGTTCTTCTTTAAATGTTTGGTAGGATTCAGCAGTGAAGCCATCAGGTCACAGGCTTTTCTTAACTGGGAGACTTTTTTATCATGGCTTCAATCTTGTTATTTGTTATTGGTCTGTTCAGATTTTGGATTTCTTCGTGGTTCAATCTTGGTAGGTTGTATATATCTTAGAATTTGTCAACTTATTCTAGATTTTCCAATTTATTGGCATATAGTTGCTCATAGTAGCCACTAATAACCCTTTGAATTTCTACAGAATCAGTTGTAATGTCTCCTTTTTCATTTCTCATTTTATTTATTTGGATCATCTCTATTTTTCTCTTAGTCTGGCTAAAAGTTTATCAATTTCATTTAACTTTTTAAAAACCAACTTGTGTTTCATTGATCATTTGTATTGTTGTTGTTTTATTTCAATTTCATTTATTTTTGCTTTTATCTTTATTATTTTTTCTTCTACAAATTTTTTTGGTTGTTCTTGTTTTTCTAGTTCTTTATAATGCATCATTAGATTGTTCATTTGAAGTTTTTTTTTTTTTCTCCTTTTTTTGTGCAGGCACTTACTGCTATAAACTTCCCTCTCAGTACTGCTTTTGCTATATCCCATAGGTTTGGCTATGTTGTGTTCCCATTATCATTTGCTTCAAGAAATTTTTCAATTTCCTTCTTAATTTTTTCATTGACTCACTAGACTTTCAGGAGCATTTGTTTAATTTCTATATATCTGTATAGTTTCCAAAGTTTTTGTTGTTATTAATTTCTAGTTTATTCCATTGTGGTTAGAGAAGATGCTTTATATTATTTCAATTTTTGAATAATTTAAGATGTGTTTTATGACCTAATATATGTTCTATCTTTGAGAATGATTCATGTCCTGAGAAAAAATAATGTATATTCTGCAGCCATTGGATCAAATGTTTTGTAAATATTTATTGGGGTAATTTGGTATATAGTGCATAATAAGGCCACTGTTTCTTTGTTGATTTTCTGTCTGGAAGATATGTCCAATGCTGAAAGTATGATGTTGAAGTCTCCAGCTATGATTATATCGAGGCTTATCTCTCTCTTTAGCTCTAATCATATTTCTTTTGTATATCAGGGTGCTCCAGTGTTAGGTGCATATATATTTATAATCATTATATCCTCTTGTTGAATTGACCCCTTTATTATTATATAATGACCTTCTTTGTCTCTTCTTATAATTTTTGTCTTGAAATTTATTTTGTCTGATATAAGTATAGCAACTTCTGCTCTTTTTTGGTTTTCATTGGCATGAAATAGCTTTTACTATTCATTTATTGTCAGTCTATGTGTGTCTTTATAGGTGAAGTGTGTTTCTTGTAGACAACAGATTTTTAGGTTCAGTTTTATTTTTATCCTTTCAGTCATTCTGTCTTTTGATTGGAGTGTTTACTCTATTTGTATTTTATCGTACTGACATAATTTGAAAGGTAATTCTAGTTATTATTTTTGGATGGTTCATTATTTATCCCTTCTACTTAAGATAAAAGTAGTTTACAAACCACAGTCGCAGTGTTATAATATTCTGTATTTTTCTGTGTACTTACTATTACCAGTGAGCTTTGTACTTTTGGGTGATTATTTATTGCTCATTAATATCGTTTTGTCTCTGATTGAAATACTCCCTTTAACATTTCTTGTAATACAGGTCTGGTATTGATGAAATCCCTCAGCTTTTGTTTGGCAAAGTCTTTATTTCTCCTTTATGGTTGAAGGATTTTTTGCCAAGTATGCTATTCCAGGTTAAACATTTTCTTTTCCTTCAGCACTTTAAATATGTCATACCACTCTCTCCTGGCCTGTAAGTTTCCCACTGAAAAGTCTGCTGCCAGATATATTGGAGCTCCGTTGTATGTTATTTCTTTATTTTCTCTTGCTGCTTTTTCCTTGCCTTATACTTGACCTTTGGTAATTTGATTATTAAATGTCTTGAAGTAATCTTCTTTGGGTTAAATCTACTTGGTGTTCTATACCCTTCTTGTACTTGGATATTAACATTTTTCCCTAGATTTCAGAAGTTCTCTGTTATTATCCTTTTGAGTAAACTTTTTACCCTTATCTCTTTCTCTATCTCCTCTTTAAAGCCAACAATTCTTAGATTTGCCCTTTTGAGGGTATTTTCTAGATCCTGTAAGCATGCTTCATTGTTATTGCTGTTTTTATGTCTCTTCTGACTGTGTGTTTTCAAATAGTCTATCTTCAAGCTCACTAATTCTTCTGCTTGATCAACTCTGCTCTTGAAGAACTCTGATGAATTCTTCAGTATGCCAATTGCATTTTGCAGCCCAGAATTTCTGTCTGATTCTTTTAAATTATTTTAATCTCCTTGTTAAATTTATCTCATAGAATTGTGAATTCCTTCTCTGTGTTATCTTGAATTTCTTTGAGTTTCTTCAACATAGCTCTTCTGAATTCTGTGTCTGAAAGGTCACATACCTCTGTTTCTCCATAATTGATCCCTGGGGACTTATTTAGTTCATTTGGTGAGGCCATGTTTTCCTGGATAATGTTGTTGCTAGTAGATGACCTTAGCGTCTGGGCATCAAAGAGTTATATATTTATTGGAGTATTCACTGTCTGGGCTTTTTTGTAGACATCATTCTTGGGAAGGCTTGTCAGATATTTGAAAAGACTTAGGCATCATGATCTAAGCTTTATCTGCTTTAGGGAGCATTCCCAAGCCCAGTAACTCTGTGGTTCTTGCAGACTCATAGAGGTTACTACTTTTATTGTTTTGGACAAGATCCAGTAGAATTCTCTGGAGATGAGGCAGAGATTCTTGTTCTCTTCCCTTACTTTCTGCCAAACATAGAGTCTCTCACTCTCTCTGCTCTGAGCCACCTAAATCAGTAGTGACCCAAGCACCCCTGTGGCCAACACCACTATGACTACACTGGATCAGACATGAAGCTTGCACAGTTCTAGATCTCGCCCAAGGCTTGCCATAGCCGCTCCCTGTTCTCTCAAAGCCCTGGGGCTCCACAATCAGCCACTTACAAAACCAGCCAGGCCTGTATCCTTCCCTTCAGTGAAGTGAGGTCTATCCAGGCCCCAGGTGGGTCAAGAAGCACCTTCCAGGAGTCAGGTACTAGAGTCACAAACCTTAGAAGTCTACCTGGTGTTCTATTGTACTGCAGCTGAGCTAGCACTCAAACCACAAGATGCAGTCCTTCCCACTCCTCCCTCCCTTTCCAAAGGCAGAGGAGCTTCATCCTGTACCAACAGTCACTCCAGGCCACCAGGAGTATTGCCAGACTACTGCTGATGTTCCCTTAAGGCTCATAGTCTCTTAAGTCAGCTTGACGTGAATGCTGCCTGGCCTGGGACACAATCTTTAAGGCAGTGGACTCTCCTCTGGCCCAGGGCAGGTCCCAAAATGCCAGGGGACCCCAAGAGCCCACTTGTTGCTTTAGTCCCTGGTGACTGTGCTGGTACCTAAGGTCCAAGACAAATTCCCCTTTACTTTTCCCTCCACTTTTCTCAAGCAGCAGGAGTTTTGCCCAATAGCCACCACAGCTGGTAATGTACTGAGTTTCACCTGAAGCCAGCAAGTCTCAGCGACTCACCCAAGGCCCTTGAGGTAGTACATGAGTATCACTGGGGGTTATTCAGTGCCGAAGGGCTCTTCAGTTAACAGTTGATGAATTCTGCCAGAACTGGGTCCTTCCTTCAAGGCAGTGGGTTCCACTCTGACCCACAATGTGTCTAGAAATATAATCTGGGAGCTAGGGTCTGGAACAGGGGCCTCACAACTCTGACCAGTGTCCTGTGCTACTGTGGCTGAGCTGGTTTCCTAGAGGCAAGGCAAAGTCCTCCCCACTCTTCCCACTCCTCTTTTCAAGCTGAAGGAAGGAGTCTCTTTTGAAGTCAATAGCCCTATAGCCAGGGGTTAACGGACGAGTGATGCCAGCACTCCCTTGGCTGCCCCAGCTGGTGTCTCAGTATGTTGACTGCCCCCTCAGTCCAGTCTCTCTAGGCCTAGTTCAGCACTAAGACTCACTAAGAGTTGGCAGTTGGCAGTCCTTATGTTCTAGACTGCTTTTCAAGTTTACTTGGAGACACAGAGTGCTGTAGCCCTCCATGACAAGGTTTGTGGGTACTCAGGTTTGGACCACTGGTATCAGTGATTTCCTTCTGGCTAGGGCTGGTTTAAATGCCCCTTCAGTGGGCAAACATCTGCTGAGTTTGGTCCAGTTTTCCTTTGTGCTTTAAAGGACAGCTCTGAGTTCAATGCCTCACAATTGTGGTCTCCCTCCCTCAAGCACCCAGAGATGGTCTCCACACCACATCACCACTGCCAAAGGCTGAGGAGTGGTGGTGTTGGTGATTCAGGACTGTTTTTTCTATCTCTTCAGAGCCTCTTTCGGCGATATGAAGATAAACAAGGTGCTGTGAGTGTTCACCTGAGTTTTGTTTTTTATGACAGTGTTTTTCTGTGTAGACAGTTGCTGACTTGATGTCCCTGCAGGGTGAGGGGGAGGTAATTGGTGGAGCTTTCTATTCTGCCATCTTGCTCCACCTGCTCCTCTCTCCTAATCTTGACAACACTTGTTATTTTCTTTTTTTGTTGTTGTTTAATTGTAGCTGTTCTAATGAGCATGGGATGGTCTCTCGCTGTAGTTTTAATTTGCAGTTTTCAAATGACTAGTGATGTTGAGCATTTTTTCATGTGCTTATTGGTTATTTGATATCTTCTTTGGAGAAATCTCTATTCGAGTTATTTGTCCATTTTTTCAAGTTATTCATCCAATATTTGTTGTTGTGGTGGTGGTGGTTGTAGTTGAGTTTTAGAAGTTCTCTATGTATCCTAGATGTTTATCCCTTATCAAATACATAATTCATAAATATTTTCTTCCATTCTCTGGGTTGTCTTTTTACACTGTTGATAGTATCCTCTGATGCACTTATTTTTTACATTTTTGTGGTCTAATTTGTCTATTTTTTCATCTGTTGCTCATGCCTTTCCTGTTACACCCAAGAATGCACTGTCAAATCCAATGTCATGAAGCATTTTCCCTATATTTTCTTCTAAGAGTTTTATAATTTTATGTAGTACATTTAAGTCTTTGATCCACTTTGAGTTAATCTTTGTATATGTGTTACGTAAGAGTCTCATGTCATTATTTGTCTTTATGATCCAACCTCATTCTTTGAAATTTTCCCAGCACCATACATTTAAAAGACTGACCCTTCCCCATTGGATGGTATTGGCATCCTTGTCAAAAATAATTCGACCACATATGTGAGGGTTTATATATATATATATATGTGCCTCTGGGAGGAGATGCAGCATAATGGCTGCCTACCTCTTTGCCTGCACCTCTGTGATCAGAAGTAGCAATCAACAATCAGTGCATAGATTTCTGATATTTGAAGACAGGGTCCTTTTTTGCCCACCTTGGCTCTGTATATTGAGTGCAGGTTGCTCCAGGAAGACATACACAATTGCCTGCCCCAAGTCTGGGGCTGAGAAATGGATAGCCGCTACTGTGTTAAAAGCTTAAATTGTCCAAAATTAACTGCAATTCCCTATCCAAGCCTTTTAGAATTTTCAAGCCTCCAACAAATTCTGGAATTCCAATATATTGATGTCAGACATATTCCACCAGTGCGGTTGTTGTCTAGGTGGGGAGACAGATTCTTGGGGTTTTCTATTCTACCATCTTCCCAGAACCTTCTATCTTTAGTACTTTTAATGACAATTTTATTTCCCTGTTTTTTGGAAAAGGTTTCTCTCAATTTTATTTTTCTTTGTATTACCAAATTTACACAGCTAGCCCTTCCTGGCATTGATCATGCAGTGATTTCCAACTGGGTCTTTCAAAGACATGGCTCCAAGTTTTGGGGGGCTAATTTTACACAGCTATGGTAGCATTAACACTGAGAGAATAACATTTTACTGGCCAGTTATTTCAACTCAACTATCCATTGGGGGATGAAGAGATATATTATTTTCTTCAGTGACAATTTTGTACTTCTCTAAAATAACTTCCTTAAAAATGCTTCTTAGTCAGTACACAGTAATGGATTCTTCAAAGTCTAGACCTTGTAAAGTCCTCTTATCTCAATGTATGTTCCATAAAATGGTATTCCTTTGAGACGTGTTACACACATTAAAAAAATATAGTTTTTCTTTATTTAGGACAGTCAGTGTCTTTAATATGCTAATGTGCTTTTGTTTCTTCAAAAGGGAAATAGTCTCATTATATCCTCACTTCTATGTGTGCCCCACATGTTTGGCATTTAGAAATTAAGAGCTATCTAAAAATGCCATATACATTTACTGTAATATTCCCATTTTTAAAATCTCTTGTCTATTATATATTTTATAATTTATTTTCATTTTCTCAGAGTACAACTTTCTAACTAAAATTCACCCTTTTTGGTGTATAGTTCTGCACACTTTGACAAATGTATTCTGTTGTAAAACCAACAATACCATCAAAATATAGAATAAAATTAACCCATGTCCCTTTGTAGTTAATCTCTCCCCCAACTCCAGGTCCTGGCAATCATTGGTCTGTTTTCTTTCCCTGTTGTCTTACGTTTTCCAGAACATCATGTGTATGTAATCATACAGTATCTCACCTTCTTTTAGTATAAATCACTTGAGATTCATCCATGTTGTTGGGTAGGACAGTAAACACTGAAATGAAGAGCTTTATGCCTGGAAGTGGACGTGAATATTCTTATGATAGGCCTTTATTGTGCAGTTTGTGTTAACATTGTCAGGAATAGAACTATGTTTGGGTTGCGTTATTACATTTACCCTGTTGCAACGTAGATTTCAAATGTCTCTAGTTTAACTTGTATTTTGAATGGGTTTTTTGAGACAGAGTCTTACTCTGTCACTGAGAATGAAGTGCAATGGTGCAATAATGGTTTACTGTGGCCTCAACCTCCCAGACTCATGCTATCCTCCCACCTCAGCCTCCCAAGTAGCTGGGACTACAGTCACGTGCCACCATGCCAAGCTAATTTTCTATATTTTTTGTATAAACAGGGTCTTGCCATGTTGCCCAGGCTGGTTTCAAACTCCTGGGCTCAAGAGATTCTCCTGCCTTGGCCTTTCAATATGCCAGGATTACTTTGCACTGTGCCTCATCTCTCTTATCCCTTTCTCTGAAGACAGTGTTCCTTACCTTTTTATGCTTATTGGCCTCATGATGGTATATGGGGAGTGGATATTCTCTTCTGATTTTTCTTGGCCTTGGTCTTAAGCAGGCATCGTGTTTGGGTTTCAGGGGTAAAGAGTTCTCATGACTTCTTCTCCTGAGTTTTAATTGTTTTGGCCAAGGCTGTATTTGCACCTCTCCACACCTTCCCCATCTCCTGAGACAGAATTTTTTTTCTGTTCTCTTTCTTTAGATACAGTGGGCTTACAGCAATGCCACAATGATAACAGTGTTTGCTGCTATTCCTCCAATATGTTAAGGTTCCTTAGGAAAGATAGGGAAAATGGATTCATGGAGGGCTTTGAGCCTTTCAGGCAAAAGCTACTATTTCTGTCCCCATGAGGTACATTTATATACCATGAGGGATATTTTCTCAGACTCTTGTTTTGCCCAAATGTTTCTTATGAGCACCTGGTGATGTCCATGGAGAAAATCATTTGAATGATTGTATAAAGTGTGCATAACTCCTAACTTCTCATGCCAGTCCACAATCAAGCTTCAACACTTTGTTAAAATTTTAGCCTTTTTTTTTTTACCAACTTGTATGATGTTTGGCAAAATCTGCCCCAGGTAAGCAAATGCATGTACCTTTTCTCCTTGGAGGAAGTCTGTATTTTCATTACTTTTTGGTTATTTGGTTGCCCTGTATCCTCAGCTCTCTGTTGTTGTAATGACAGGTGCAATATTCTTTTCAACTTTTTACATCATCTAAAGAAGTGAGAAACCTCGATTAAGTTTCATAACTGAGACATTTAGCAGCATATATTTTGTATTTTCTTATGTCTACCACTGTAGTTATTTTGAGAGACTATTCTCCCAAGGAACATATTTTGGAATTTGTTTTACTTTCTGTGGAATCTTGTTGAGAATATTCCAGTAGTAGTTTATCTTAATAGTGATTAATATAAATTATATATTAATGTAAAAAAATCATTTAAAAACATACCATACAGTGTTCAATTTCTCCAAAGTAGGGGAGGGAATTGTAGGAGAGAGTAATTTATGAAAATACCAAACACCATGTGCTTGCTCCTACCTCTTGATAAGCTATTGCCAGGCCACCTACACTGAAACCTGCAGTGGGACAAGTTTTGACATGAGAAATGTCATGTGGCTGTGTGTAACTTTGCAACAGCAAGAATTTCCTTCTGTTGTAGTGAGCTGAACTTTTTGTTTGGGATTCCTTAGTCCTAATGTATTTCTTGCAACAAGCATGCTGCTGAATCTCCAGAATTATTGGTGCATCCCAGGATGAACGAAGGAGGCATGAGTGATCCTGCTCACTGTGTTCTTAACCTTGTGTTTGTCCTCTACACAGCTTGTTGCAGGTTTGATAGTAAACTAAACTGACAGCCACCTTAACTGAATCAAGTCATCACTTGCACTTGTTCTCAACATTGTACCCAGCTCCCATGCATACGCATTTTGAAGCATTTTTGTTACCGCATTTATTTTAGTAGAACTTGTGGTACATTCCCATTAAAGAGAGTACTAAAAGTTGGTTAATAAAATATATTTTTAATTCTCAATTTTTCTTTCCTCTAATTTCCTTGCAATGGTTAGGCTCATGCTTAACTATTTGACTCTAATAGCAATTTGATTTCCATTTTATTTATGCTCAACCTTTCTCAATGTCTCACCATAAATAAAATGCTTTCAATCTGCCTGCCACCTATTATACCTGAAAGGTACTGAAGTAAGACTGTGTATGTGTATTTCTAAGTAGTCTACATATATAATCTACATGCATTTATAGTTTGTATATACAACATATGGAAGACATATTGACATATGATCTGTGTGATTATTTTACCTTTTGTTACTTATGTAAAAAAAGCTACTCTCAATGAAAACACTCGTAATTCTTCTA
Source organism: Homo sapiens (assembly GCF_000001405.40). NCBI lineage: Eukaryota > Metazoa > Chordata > Mammalia > Primates > Hominidae > Homo > Homo sapiens. The sequence goes on along the minus strand of NC_000003.12, from coordinate 88,707,261 downwards.
ATCTGTAGCAGTAAAGTGACCCCAAATCATATTTCAGCAAGAGCTTAATGTCAGAAGTCTTTGGTAAGGGTTGGGGAGTGTATGATATGGTTTTGCTTTTTGCCAGTATCCAGAGGTAAATTTGAACACAAATAAAGCAGAGAAATGACTACTTTCAAGAGAAGTTTATATACTATATCAAATTATTTGTCATTTTGAGGTGGTTTGCAAATATCACTTTTTTGTATATTTATCTTTCTTCTTTGGGCCTTCAGATTTTTTAAGAATAATTCACCAGTACTCATGGGGGGCTTTTACTTAAAGAGGAGCGCAGAGGCGAATACTAAATCACAAGGTTGCATTCTAGTTTTTAAGGGTGAACTTGAGTCACATACATAATAAACTCCAAGTTCCATATAAACAACAGCTGTTTCTCCAAATCTGGTAAGTGGAAGCATTCACACATATAACTGCCTGTTTAAGCATCCAGTGATACAGAATAATTTGTTTCATCTTTCTAAATTATTGTAGTAACTTCTGAGCATAGAAATCCTGAGGCATCTGCTCCTTGTAATAAAGCCACAATGGCTTTACAGGCTAGTGCTAAGAGAGTTGTTTCTATTGATCATGCTTTCATGTGAGACTGAAAAGTGATCATTCATTCATTAAAAAAAATCTCTAAAGTATATGTAAATTACAAACAGTGCTATAAAGTTGTGAACAATAACATTAGGAACAGTGTAAAGTCTATTATGTACAATAGTTCATACAACTATTTGAGTGGCTAATATATGCTAGGCATTGATCTAGATATAGAAATGTCCATTGTATCCTTTAGTCTTCACAAAACTTTTGTTGAGTAACTATTGTTTACATTTTATGGCTGAGCCATGTGAAGCTTGGAGAGAGAAAATTGCTTAAGCACCCTAAACTAGTAATTGACATTGCTAAAAGTTTATTCAGCTTCTCTAAATGTGAGCCACCATCCTAATTGAGGTCTTTTGGGGAAAACCAGCACACCAGACAGAAAATTAAATGTGCCTTTAAATCAAATTAGGAACGAGGCGTTGCTCTTCTAGCTTTATTCTAACATAACCAAAATATTTACTGCGATATCTGCCTCATCCAGATATTTGCATACAAAAATGTAGATAAGATTTTAATTATTTACAAACACAATGAAAACTTTGTAAATCCCACCAGAACCGAAGTTCTGTAATGAGAATTGCAAATAGCACATTATGCTTTTTTTGTATAAAATTAATTATAGAAGATATATAAGAGATATTGTCAACCATCTTTGCATCCTCCTCACATAGCCATTAGACAAGTTTATTTGTATCCTCTTCGGACTGTTTTTCCAGGGATGTACTGTTTTTGCTTCAAGGATTTTAGAACTTGTCATTGATAGTTCCTATCCTTTGCCTATTAATCCTAGCTTTGAGTCTTTGTAGCTGTAAGAAAAGCATATGAGTCTGTAATTTCTCTGGGACAATAGATCTTCACCCCTTTTTGCATTTTGGTTCTGAATCTGATTCAAAGACTCTCTATGGGATGCTGTGTAAGTTTATACTTTGGAGAAGGAATCTCTTTCTTTTTAAAAGTTCATTTTCAATTGCTGAGTACTATGTCATGCCCTAAGTAACCTTATGTATATCCTGAAAGAGTTACTAAGAAAGTTATCACCCATGCCCTACCGGTATGTGGATTACAAATATTACATAGATTTGTTTCTTGATAAGATCACATCAAAAGAATAAGCTTGATCCAAATAATATTTTCATATTCAATAATTTTTTCTTGCTATAATTTTAATAAGATGAAAGGACCTCAGGCTCCAGTTACTGAAAATATATAACATTTCTACTATTAATTCACGTAATCTGCAAGATAAGATTGTGTCTCTTCACAGGTGATATCTGGCAGATCTGAATCTTGTTTTGCTTGTTTTTCATATTATCAGCACTTTTGCTAATGTATAAAAGTAAACTATGGAATTTCTGGTGTTAGAACTTGGGCATTTACAGTGCAGACCTAAGATGCAAAATGCATTTTTTTGGAGCTCTATAAGTGTGATTAATGTATTTTAACAAACAAACAAGTAGACTGGCTTTATCGTTCTCTGTAGCTGAAATGTGACAAATTTCTTAACAGCAAAGAAGACAACAACAAAGGGTGGCCACACATTCTCTGTAATTAAAAACAGGTGATGCATCTGTCTTGTAGTGCTCATTGCTTATAAGTAAGATGATGACTTGATTATATAATTGCTTTAGGTCTTTACAAATATATATGTTGTGATTTGGTTTCCATCATAGCTTCTGTGATTTTAAGCTTTTATATCTAATGTTCTATTAAATCTGCTTCTTTCCATTTGCCTTAATTTTTATAGTGAGTTTACAGAAATTCCAATAATCTAGTCTTTACTAATGCACAGAGATACATGGGTAATGTATTATTTCAAATTAACACAAAAATTCTAATACTACTTATTCCTCCCAGTAGTTCATTTTAATTAAAAATATATTTCTAAATACTTCCTTGATTAGGGACTAATGCTCTATTAATTTGAAACACATCTACTGAGAGCAGAGTAAATTCAAGAACAGGAACTGACATTACATGAAACATAACTTATCACCGTGAAGAATACATTATGCTACTGTGCACAATGCACGCAGGTTTTCCATTATGCATTAAAATGCATAATGCAAGCCTAATGACAGTTATGGGGAAAAGTCTGTGGCAAAGGAAACACATGAAGGATACTGTGCAGGTATTTATGCTAATGGTAGAAAAACATGTACAGTTTGCAATACCAAGAGGAAAATAAGCATGATGGATGAATAGACATTCCACAGAAATGTTTTCTAAAATATAGTCATGGATTTCTTAGAGACTGAAAGCTTACATCAATTTGTCAGTGACTCTGTTAAGATTCATCGAACACCAATTGTGTGTTAAATGCTAAACACTTCAGAAAAAGTAAAAAAGCTGGAAAACCCATTCCACAGTAAATACCCATCAGGATATTTACAATCAATCCAAAGAGGTAACACCCAGCAGCAACACCCAACAACCTTAAAATATTTACAAATAAGTGTTTTCAGAGCCAAAAATAAAAAATTTACTAAAAACTCAGAAAAAAGAGGTAAGTTTGAAGCTAGCATATGAAATTCAGTGAGGACTTTCTATTAAAGGAGAAGAGGAACAAAGCTATTCTGGCCCAGATCATATGTATGAGTAAGTAGAGTAAAAAGACATGTTATAAAAAATATTACTTTAACTTGGAAAAATGTGTTTTAATATCAGTGGAAATAGGCTAGATAATCTAGAGAATGAGTACACTGTCATGATGATAACTAGTGATAATTGGACTTTAATATGACTGTCACAACAAATGTAATACACTACTGTCATGTAATGCTAAGGAACTTGTATAAATGAAAAAGTATGACTCATGTAAATGCAATCAATGAAAAATTTTAGAAGCACTAGCTAACCAATCTTTGATGAATGGCCTGAAACGTGTCACTATGAAGCAGCAACATTATTTTCCTCTGGTTACTTATTACAGAATAAGGTAAGAAGACGTGGATTAGTCTTAGCTAGAGCCCACTCATTGCAAAAAATATCTTCCTACACTCAAGGCTACACTGTTCTGCGCTAAGGAATTACAGCTTCCTTGAAAACTTACACTGGTCAGTAAAGAAGGTCATTGGCAGGATAGGATGAAGGAAGTAAGTTATTTTCTGACTATAAATTGGAAATATAAGTATTTTATATTTAATGTGCAAGTAATCTCAGCCTTAGTTGTATCTATTATTGTTTTTTGATTTGGTTTGAATTTGCTTTTAAATTGAAGAATATGAACATATTTTATAACGATGATATAAATGATTATTTTATAATAATGACAAAAATAATTTAAATATTATTTTAATAAAAAAGTTCACATTTCCTTTCTCACTATATACGTATGTAAAACCCATAAGGTAGATATGGATATCTCCAATTCAGAATTAAGAAAACTGAATCTTGAAGTTTAAGTAATTGGAGGAAAAAAAAAAAAAGAACACTGCCAGAGCATAGAAATCAGGCATTAATTCCATGTCTTTCTCATTCTAGACCATGTTGTGAAATAATAATTCAAAAAAGAGCAAAGGAGGAGGAGGAGGAAGAAAGGAGTAAAGAATCCCAAAACAAAGAGAAAAAAGAAAAAGAAAAAGAAGGAACAAAGAAAGGAAGAAGGGAAGGAAGGAAGGAAGGAAGGAAGGAAGGAAGGAAGGAAGGAAGGAAGGAAGGAAAGAAGGAAGGAAAGGAAAAAGTAGGAAGAAGGAAAAATACTTCAGTCATAATCCAGGAATGTTGATTAAAACCTGTTAACTGGTATATTTGGTGGGCAATTTTATCAATTAGTTATGCTATAGAATATATCCAGTGTGTCTCATCTTTCACCAATACTACACTGTCTTGAATGTTGTGGTTTAATAGTAATTTTTGAAAACAGTTACTGTGAGTCTTCTTTTGTTTTAATTGTTTTGACAATTCTAATTTCTTTCCTTTGCCATGCAAATTTGAAAATCAGCTTGTCAATTATACAAAAAAATGTGGTTCTTGCAAGGTTGAATTTGGGGATAGTTGACATTTTTAACAATATTGAATCCTCCAATCTATGAGTATAGTGCATGTTTCTCTACTAATTGAATCTTTTCTTATTGCTTTCATTAGAGTTTTGCAGTTTCAGCCTATAGATTGTGCACATATTTTATTAGATTTATCCTTCAGTATTTCTCTGTGAGTGGTATTGTCAGTTATAATAATTTTATTTAAATTTTACTAGTTAATCCCCCAAAAATCCAAAATTTATTTTTTTAATGTTGAGCTTTAGTTAGAAACATTGGGAATTTTTATGTAGACAATGATGTTGCCTGTGAATAGACACAGTTTTATTTCTTCTTCTCCAGATTGTATGCCTTTTTTCTTCCTTACCTATTGTAAAACCTAAGACCTCTATAATGATGTGAATAAAGACTGGTATAATCAAACATTCTTGTCTTCTTGCCAATTTTGGATGGAGCATTCAATCTATCACAATTGCATGTAATGTTAACTGTAGTTTGCTGTTGTTTTGTTTTAGTAGATCACCTTTTTCAGATTGCTATCCATTGTTTGCTGATAATTTTTATAATAAATGTTGGTCTGCCAATTTTTTATTGCATTTATTAAGATGATTCTCTTTTTTCTCATTTAGTTAGTTGAAATGATGAATTATATTACCTGATTATATTGGTTGTTCAACATTGAATTAAATCTGGATTCCTGAGATTATTGCTACTTAGTAATGATGCATTATCCTTTATGTATACACATTTTAAAATTTGCTAATATTTTGTTGGTACTATTTGCATCTGTATTGAACAAGGATATGTTTGGTAGATTTATTCTCTTATAAAGCTTTGGAATAATTTTTGTGTTGGAATAATATTGATTCCATAAATAATGACAAATAATTCAATATATGAGATTTTCTGGAAAATTTTATGTAGAGCTGGCATAATTTGGGTTTTTTCCAACTTTTATTTTAGGTTCAAGGAGCACATGTGCAGTTTTGTTGCATGGGTGTAAAGATAATTTTGTCACCCACGTAATCAGCATAATACCCAGTGGGTAGTTTTTCAATCCTCACCATCCTCCCACACTCCACTGTCAATCAGACCCTGGTGTCTATTGTTCCCTTCTTTGTGTCCATGCATACTCAATATTTATCTCTCACTTATAAGTGAGAACATGAAGTATTTAGTTTTCTGTTCCTGTGTTAATTCACTCAGGATAATAACCTCAAGCTCCATACATGTTTCTACAAAGGACATGTTCTCATTCTTTTTATGGCTGCATAGCATTCTATGGTGCATATGTACCACATTGTGTTTATTCAGTCCACCATCGATGGGCACCTAGGTTGATTCAATGTCTTTGCTATTGTGTGTACTGCTTTGATGAACATACAATTCCATGTGACTTTATAATAGAATGATTTATTTTGGGGGGGTATATACTCAGTAATGGGATTGCTTTTGGAGTCTTTGCAATTCTCACTTTAGAGATCTTTCTCCTCACTGGTTAGCTGTATTCCTAGGTATTTTGTTCTTTTTGTGGCTATTGCAAATAGGATTGTGTTCTTTATTTGGCTCTCAGCTTGGATATTTTTGGTGTGTAAAATTGCTACTGATTTGTGTACATTGATTTTGTATCCTGAAAGTTTGCTGAAGCTGTTTATCAGTTCTAGGAGCCTTTGAGCTAGCCTTTGCTAGCTAGACAAAAAAGAAAAAAGGGAGAAGATCCAAATAAGGACAATCAGAAATGACAAAGGGGACATTACCACTGACCCCAAAGAAATAAAAAAAAAAATTCCTGAGACTGTTATGAACATGGCTGTGCAAACAAACTAGAAAACCTAGAAGAAATGGATAAATTCCTGGAAACACCAAACCAGGAAGATATTGAAACCCTGAGCAGACCAATAACAAGTTCCAAAATTGAATCAGTTACTAGAAAATTGTACCAAACAGAAAAAGCTCTAAATTAGATGGATTCACAGCTGAATTCTACCATCTGTATAAAGAAAACTGGTACCAATCCTACTGAAACTATTTCCCAAAAAAATCAAAGAAGAGGCACTCCTCCCTAATTCATTTTATGAGGCCAACATCATTCTGATACAAAATTATTTAATAAATAAATATCAATTATTTGATAAGTAAATATCAATCTTATTTATTCTTTCAAAGAACAAGCTTTTGGCTCATTGATTTTTCATATGGATTTCTTCATCTCCCTTTGATTCAGCTCAGCTCTGATTTTGTTTCTTAAATATTTGCAGACATTTATCATTGAAGCTATCTGGGCCTGTTTTGTTTGTTTGTAGTAAAGTTTTCAACAAGTTAAATTTATTTATTAGTCATTCAAATATTTCTAGGGATATTCTTAGTTATCTATTCTAGATGAACTTTAATTGTTTGGTTCAAGAAATTTTTCAATTATATCTAATGTCACATTTCTGGATATGGAATTGATTGTAATATTTTTCATTGTTATTTTAAAATCTTAAAAGTTGATAATGTATATTGAGTATGTGTATCTTCTGTCTTTCTTCTTGTTAAGTCTGGCTGGGGATATAACTATTTCTTTGATATTTTCAAAGAAACAACTTCAATTTCTTTTTTTTGCTCTGTTTGTTTCTGTATTTAATCTTATTGATTTCTTTTGTTAACTCATGTTTATTGGGACTTATTTATGATTTATGTGGATTTAATTCTCTTTTCATTGTTATTTCTTACAATCACAGATTAGATCATTGATTTGAAAACTGTCTCCTAATGTAAACATTTATATTTACACTAATGTTATGACAGCATATAGCATGTTATAAATTTCTTCTAAATATTGCTTTACTTTCAGGCCACAAAATCTGATATTTTGTGTCATTTTTATTTAATTCATAATGTTATCTAATTTCTAATGTGACTTCTGTTTTAACACATGGGCTATTTATAAGTATAATATATAATTTCAAAAAATTTCTGCATTTTCTGTATATCTTTCTGTTATTGATGTCTAGTCACATTTGGATGTAATAAAAACAAATATCCTATATGAATTCAATCTTTCTAAATATCTTGAGCTTGGTTCTCTTGGTGAATGTTCCATGCTTACTGTTTTATTCTGCTTGGGCTAGTGTAATGACAACAACAAAAATACCGCAGACAGCATGGCTTAAATAATAAACATTTATTTCTTATAGTTCTGGAGGCTGGTAAGTCCAACATCAAGGTACTGGCAGTTTTAGTAGCTTGTGAAGACACTTTTCCTGGTTTAAGGATGGTTGCTTTCTTGCTGTGTTCTCGCATAGCAGAGAAAGAGGGAAAGATAGCGTGTTGCCTCCTCTTCTTAAAGGGCATTATCTCATCAGGGCGGCTCCAAACTCATGACCTCATCTAAACCTAATTACAGAGGTACAAGTATTGTGGGCAACCTGTGCTTTAAATGTTAAAAGAAGTGTATTCTGTTGATATTGGTCGGATTGTTCTATAAATTACCTAGTTCAATAGACTGATAGTTTTTTTTGTTTTCCTTTAAAGAACTTTTTGGTTGTTTTCTATCTTTTTGTGCTATTGCTAAGAGAGAAGTGTTGAAATCTCCAACTAAAATTGTTGATTTATATATTTTTTCTTTCAGTTCTGTATTTTCTTACAGAGTTTTGAAACTCTGTTATTAGAAAAATACACATTCAGGATTGTTGTATATCTTTGAAAAATTGACATTTTTATTACAATTTAATATCTCTCTTTATTCTTGACAATATTTCCTGTTCTAAAGTCTATTTTCTTACATTAATATAGCTGCTACAATTGTACACTAATTATGTTTGTAGAGCATACCTTTATCCTATCATTTACTTTTAACTTATTTCTGTCTTTATATTTAAATTTTCACTTTCTCTGGGCAGCATAGAGTTGGTTCTTGTTATCTGAGCCAATTTGACAATAGCTGTCTTCTATATTTTTAAGAGTTTTTTATATACTCCATTTATGTTTAATGTAATTCTAATATGACTGGATTTAAATCCACAATCTGATGCTTGTATTCTACTTTATTCGTTGTTTTCCTGTACCTTTTGTCCATGTATGTGCCTTCTTTTGGGTTAATTTAGATTATGTTATAATGATCTGCTATCTATAGTAATGGCTAATATTTATCACTATCATTTTTGTTTTCAATTGCCTTTGTGTATACATGAAGTATTTAATTACAATCTAACTTCAAATAATATTATAATATATTAAATATGTAAAGAAACACAAATGTGTATATATATTTTCTCTTTTATGATATAATTTTTATGCATTTTCCTTTTACATATTCTATAAACCCGTATTGCTACCATTTTTACCATTTTTTCCTTTGGACACCCAATTACTTTTAAGAGTTACTTTTAAGAGTTTCTGTGTTTAATTTTCTCAGAGTTTCTATACTCTAACATAATCATTTCTACTTATCCTTGAACACACCACTAAACATTTTACCTGTATTTTTCTTAACTTTTTATGTGGCACCCAAGTTATCTTCCTTCTAAACTTTACCGAAGGTCAGCCAGTGCTTACTTCTCACCTCTTCTTGGAAAGTTTTATCTTTCCTTAGATTTCAGTCTACTTGTTTACTTTGCAACCTGTTTCAGGTGGTTTTTTTAAAAATTATGATTTTGTAGTTTCATCATTTTGTATTGTTAGAGTGGTAGCAATGCCTTTTTTCTTTTTTTCTATATTCTATGTGAAAGCAGACCACCTACAATTGAATCTTAGCAGACAAGAGTTGTCAAGGTTAAAAGTATTAATTTTGAGACTTATTACTTTGTGCGCTATGAATATACTGTAGAGAAAGTGAGTTAATTTATTACTCTAAGTTATAATTATATTTTATGAAATATTCCATTTTAAACTGAATGTTACGTGTTTTTGTCATTCATTCTACAACTTGAATAATGTCATCTTCAATTGATGGAGGTTACCAAAGTGAATTGTTAGTATGATATAAATACATAGATGCAAGTTTGTGTCAGATATTTATTCAGCAAATATTTATTCAGACTCATTTTTGAAAGTTAAGGCGTTAAAATCATAAAGACTGTTCAAACACCTTCTCAGGATGTACTTGGAATTTCTTCTTGAAGGTTACATTAACCATGAAGGAATAAGAAACCAGAGATTTATTTTAAGATGTAGATATAAAATACAGAAAGAAGATTTGCTGATATTTATAATACATTGTGAGGAAAGTAATTAAGACCCTTGAAAAAGATTATTTATACAGAGAAAAAGAAAATAAACCATATCTCTTAAAAATTAATGCAAAAGATAAATCAACTATGTATATAAATATAATACATATCACCAAAGAAATAATGATTGATATGAGTATCAAAGACCAACAAGAAAGTCTAATGGGTGTATTTTAGAGTGATAGTTTTAAAATGAAAGCAGTTTTGACCAGTTCACCAGCAGGTGCGTTCATGGGTTCTGGTTAGATCTATTACCTATGAGCTTTTGAAACAGACTAGCAAGAATTTCCTTCCATGACGTAGCTCCACATTGAAGAGAAATTAATGGTAATAAAATTAAAAATAAGTAGGATGTTGAATATAGAGGGAAAGGACAGACTATTTTGAGAGGATACTGAGGGAACAGAGCAGAGCTAGGGAATTTCAGAAATAAATTATTATAGTCTTTGAAACTATGTAAAAAAAAAACAGAAGATAAAGTTCTATGACATTGGAAAACCCATCCTGAGCTAGCCTTCTTTTAAAGATCCAGAAAAGACTGATTTCATATAACAATGAGCAATAGAAAAGGGCTAAGGCCCAAACTCCATAAAAAGTATAATGACAAAAAAGAGAATAAATAATATATAATAACAAACATACAGAAAATAAAAGCACTCCAGAAAGATATAAATACAGAATAGATCAAAACTGTGTTTACATAACTTCATCGTGATACTGTCGAAAAATAAAAGCCTGATTATTCACTTTTTTTAACCCAACTTTTATAACAAGTTCTGGGGTCCATGTGCAGGATGTGGAGGTTTGGTACATAGGTAAACGTGTGTCACAGTGGTTTGCTGCACGATCAACACATCACATGGGTATTAAGCCCAGCATCCATTAGCTATTATTCTTGATACTCTCTTGCCACCCCCGACTGGAGAGGCCCCAGTGTGTGTTGTTCCTCCCCATGTGTCCATGTGTTCTCATCATTCGGCTCCCACTTGTAAGTAAAAACATGCAGTGTTTGGTTTTGTGTTCCTGCATTAGTTTGCTAAGGATAACAGCTTCCAGGTCCATTAGTGTCCCTGCAAAGGACATGATCTCATTCCTTTTTATGACTGCATAGTATTCAATGATGTATATGTACCACATTTTCTTTATCTAGTCTATCATTAATGGGCATTTGGGTTAATTCCATGTCTTTGCTATTGTGAATAGGGTTGCAATGAATATGTACGTATGTATCTTTATAATAGAATGAATTATATTTCTTCAGGTACATACCCAGTAATGGAATTGCTAGGTTGCATGGTATTCATATTTCTGCCTCTAGATCTTTAGGGAATTACCATACTGTCTTTCACAATGATTGAACTAATTTACACTTTCACCAAAAGCATAAAAGTGTTCCTTTTTATCCACAGCCTAGCCAGCATTTGCTGCTTCTTGACCATTCCGATTGCCGTCAGATGATATCTCATTGTGGTTTTGATTTTTTATTTCTCTAATGATTAGTGATGTTGAGCATTTTTTCATATGTTTGTTGGCCACATAAATGTCTTCTTTTGAGAAGTGTCCGTACATGTCCTTTGCTCACTTTTTAATGGGGTTGTTTGGGTGTGTGTGTGTGCGTGTGTGTGTGTAAATTTGTTTAAGTTCCTTGTAGACTCTGGATATTAGACCTTTGTCCGATGGATAGAGGGCAAAAATTTTTCCCATCTGCGGGTTGTCTGTTCACTCTGATGATAGTTTTTTTTTTGCTGTGCAGAAGTTCTTTAGTTTAATTAGATCCTATTTGTCAAATTTTGCTTTTGTTGCAACTGCTTTTGGTGTTTTCAGCATGAAATATTTGCCCATGCCTATGACCTCAAGGCTATTGCCTAGATTGTTGTCTAGGGTTTTTACAGTTTTTGGTTTTACATTTAAATGTTTAATTCATCTTGAGTTATTTTTTGTGTAAGATGTAAGGAAGGGGACCAGTTTCAATTTTCTGCATATGGCTCGCCAGTTCTCCAATTACCATTTATTAAATAGGGAATAATTTCCCCATTGCTTGTTTTTGTCAGGTTTGTTGAAGATCAGATGGTTGTAGGTGTGCAGGCTTATTTCTGAGTTGTTTATTCTGTTCTATGGGTCTATATGTCTCTTTCTGTATCAGTAACATTCTGTTTTGGTTATTGTAGCCTTGGAGTATAGTTTGAAGTTGGGTAGCATGATGCCTCCAGTTTTGTTATTTTTGCTTAGGATTGTCTTGGCTATCTGGGCTCTTTTTTGGTTCCATATGAATTTTTAAATAGTTTTTTTCTAATTATGTGAAGAATGTCAATGTTAGTTTAATGGGAATAATATTGAATCTATAAATTACTTTGGGCAGTATGACTATTTTCATGATATTGATTCTATCCATGAGCATGGAATGTTTTTCCATTTGTTTGTGTCTTCTCTGATTTCCATGAGCAGTGGTTTGTAGTTCTCCTTGAAGAAGTCCTTCACTTCCCTTGTTAGCCATATTCCTAGGTATTTTGTTCTCTTTGTAGCAATTGTGAATGGGAGTTCACTCATGATTTGTCTCTCTGCTTGCCTGTGGCTAGTGTTTAATAATGCTAGCAATTTTTGCACATTTATTTTGTAATCTGAGACTTTGCAGAAGCTGCTTATCAGGTTAAGATCATGTCAGCTGCAAAGATTATTTGACTTCCTCTCTTCCTATTTGAATACGGTTTATTTCTTTCTCTTGCCTGTTTGACCTGGCCAGAACTTGAATAGGAGTTATGGGAGGGGGCATCCTTGTCTTGTACTGGTTATCAAAGGGAATGCTTCCAGCTTTTGCCCATTCAGTATGATATTGGCTGTAGGTTTGTCATATATGGTTCTTATTATTTTGAGGTATGTTCCTTCAATACCTAGTTTATTGAGAGTTTTTTAAATGAAGGGATGTTGAATTTTATTGAAGGCTTTTTTCTGCATCTATTGTGATAACCATGTGGATTTTGTCTCTGGGTCTGTTTTTGTGATGAATTGCATTTATTGATTTGTGTATGTTAAACCAGCCTTGCATCCCAGGATGAAGCCAACTTGATCATGGTGGATAAGCTTTTTAATGTGCTGCTGGATTTGGTTTGCTGGTATTTTATTGAGGATTTTGCATCAATGTTCATCAGGAATATTGGCCTGAAGTTTCTTTTTTTGTTGTATGTGTGCCAGGTTTTGGTGTCAGGATGATGCTTTCTCATAGAATGAGTTAAAGAGGAGTCACTTCTCTTCAATTTTTTGGAATAGTCTCAGTAGAAATAGTACCAGCTCTTCTTTGTGCCTCTGATAGAATTCAGCTATAAATCCATCTTGTCCTGGGCTTTTTTTGGTTGGTAGGCTATTTATTACTGCCTCAATTTCAGAACTTATTATTGGTCTATTCAGGGATTCAATTTCTTTCCAGTTCAGTATTGAGAATGTGTACATATACAGGAATTTATCTACTTCTTCTAGATTTTCTAGTTTATGTGCATAGAAGTGTTTATAGTATTATCAGATTGTTGCTTGTATTTCTGTCCACAGCATGGATACCAACAGCATTCCACAGAATGGGAGCATCAATGTAAATATCTTCAATAAAATACCAGCAAACCAAATCAATAAATGCAAATCATCACAAAAAGAGAACCAAAGACAAATGACATGGTTATCTCAATAGATGCTGAAAAAGCCTTCAATAAAATTCAACATCCTTTCATATTAAAAACTCTCAATAAACTAGGTATTGAAGGAACACACCTCAAAATAATAAAAGCCTTATATGACAAACACACAGCCAATATCATATTGAATGGGAAAAAGCTGGAAGCAGTGGTCAGTGGTGATATCCGCCCTAACATTTCTGATTGTGTCTATTTGATTCTTCTCTTTTTTTCTTTATTAGTATAGCTAGCAGTCTATTTTATTAATTTAAAAAATAATCAGCCCCTGGATTCATTGATTTTTTTGAATGGTATTTTATGTCTCTATCTCCTTCAGTTCTGCTCTTGTTTATTTCTTGTCTTCTGCCAGCATTTGGGTTTGCTTGCTCTTGGTTCTCTAGTTCTTTTAGTTGTAATGTTAGGTTGTTGATTTGAGATCTTTCTAGCTTTTTGATATGGGCATTTTGTGCTGTAAATTTCCCTCTGTTTCAGCTGCATTCCAGCGATTCTGGTACACTGTCTCTTTGTTCTCATTAGTTTCAAACTTCTTAAGTTCTGCCTTAATTTCATTATTTACCCGAGAGTCATTCAGGAGCAGGTTGCTCAATTTTCATGTAGTTGTGTGGTTTTTAGTGGGTTTCTTAATCTTGAGTTCTAATTTGATTGTGTCGTGGTTTAAGAAACTGTTTGCTATGATTTCAGTTCTTTTACATTGGCTGAGGAGTGTTTTACTTCCAATTATGAGATCAATTTTAGAGTCAGTGTTATGTGGTGATGAGAAGAATGTATATTCTGTGCTTTGGGATGGAGAGGTCTGTAGGTATCAATCAGATCCACTTGATCCATAGCTGAGTTCAGGTCCTGAATATTTTTGGTAATTTTCTGTCTCAATAATCTGTCTGATATTCTCAGTGGGGTGCTAAAGTCTCCACTATTATTGTGTGGGAGTCTAAGTCTCTTTGCAGGTCTCTAAGAACTTGATTTATGAATCTGGGTGCTCCTCTACTGGGTGCATATATATTTACAATATTTAGCTTTTCTTATCAAATTGAAGCTGAAATCTTTAACATTTTGTAATGCCCTTCTTTGTCTTTTTTGATCTTTGTTAGGTTAAAGTCTGTTTTGTCAGAAAATAGAATTGTGATTCCTGCTTTTTTGTTGTTGCTGTTTTCCATTTGCTTGGTAAATTTTCCTCCATCCCTTTATTTTTAGCCTATGTGTGTCTTTGCACATGAGATGGGTCTCTTAAAGACAGCGTATCAGTGAGTCTTGACTCTTTATCCAGCTTTCCATTCTATGTCTTTTCATTAGGGAATTTAGCCCACTTACATTTAAGGTTAATATTGTTACATGTGAATTTCATCCTGCCATCATGATGGTGGTTGGTTATTTTGCAGACTTGTTTATGTGGTTGCTTCACCGGCCTGTGTACTTCAGTGTGTTTTTGTAACAGATTTTCCTTTCCATATTTAATGCTTCCTTCAGGAGCTCTTGCAAGAAAGGCCTAGTGTTGACAAATTGACTTGGCATTTGCTTGTCAGAAAAGGATCTTATTTTTCCTTCACTTACAAAGCTTAGTTTGGACAAATATGAAATTCTGAGCTCAAAATTCTTTTATTTAAGAATGTTGATTATTGGCCCTCAATCTCTTCTGGCTTATAGAGTTTCCACTGGGAGGTCCACTGTTAGTCTGATGGACTTCTCTTTGTAGGTGATCTGGCCTTTCTCTCTAGCTGTGCTTAACATTTTTTCTTTCATTTTGACCTTGGAGAATCTGATGATTATGTTTCTTGGGATGGATCTTCTCATGGAGTATCTTACTGAGGTTCTCTGGATTTCCTGAATTTGAATTCTGGCCTGTGTTGCTATCTGGAGAAGTTTCTCCTGGATGACATTCTTAAGTATATTTTCCAACTTGGTTTCATTTTCTCCATTTGTTTCAGTTACCCAAGTCAGTTGCAAGTTTGGTCCTTTTATATAATTCCATAATTCTTGGAGGTTTTCTTTGTTACTTTTCATTGTTTTTCTCTAACTTGTCTGCCTGTCCTATGTCAGCAAGATAGTCTTCAAGCTCTGAGATCCTTTCCTCCATTTAGCGTGTTCAGTTACTGATGCTTGTGTTCGCATTGTGAAGTGCTCATGTTGTGTTTTTCAGCTGCATCAGGTCAGTTATGTTCTTCTCTAAGAAGAATAGAATAGCTGGCTATTCTGGTTATCAACTCCTGTATTATTTTATCATGGTTCTTAGATTCTTTGTGTTTTGTTAGAACATTCTTCTTTTGCTCAGCAAAGTTTGTATTACCCATTCATGTAGTTTGGCTCTGTGTCCCCACCCAAATCTCATCTTGAATTGTAATAATCACTGCATGTCATGGGAGGGACCTTGGGGGAAATAATCAAATCAAGGGGGTGAGTTTTTCTCATTGTGTTCTTGTGCTGATGAGTAAGTCTCATGAGATCTGATGGTTTTATAAAGGGAGTTCCCCCGCACATGCCCTTTTGCATGCTACCATGTAAGACACGCCTTTCCTTCTCCTTTGCCTTCTATTATGAAGGTGAGGCCTCCTCAGCCATGCTGAACCTTGAGTCCATTAAACCTCTTTCTTTTATAAATTACCCAGTCTTGGGTATGTCTTTATCAGCAGCATGAGAACGGACTAATACACCCACCTTCTGAAGTCTGCTTCTGTCAATTCAGTGATCTTAGCCTCTGCCCAGTCCTGTGTCCTTGCCAGAGAGGTGTTTTGGTCTTTTGGAGGAGAAGTGGGACCTGGCTTTTTGAGTTTTCAGCATTTTCCCATTTTTTTTGTTTCTCATCTTTGTGAGCCTTCAATCTTTCAGGTTGCTGAAATTTGAATGGGGTTTTTGTGGGGAATTTTTTAGTTGATGTTGTTGTTGTTGTTGCTTTCTGTTTGTTTTCTTTTAACAGTCAGGCCACTCTTCTGTAGGGCTGTTGTGGTTTGCTGGGGGTCCACTTCAGACCCTAGTTGTCTCAGTCCCTCCTACATCTGGAAGTATCACCAGGGAAGGCTGTTCCTTCCTCAGGGATCTCCCTCCCAGGGGGAACCAACCTGATGCTGGCCCGAATGCATCAGGAGGTGTCTGGAGACCCCTGTTGGGAGGTCTCACCCAGTCAGGAGGAATGGCATCAGGGACCTATTTAAGGAGGCAGTCTAGCTGCCCTTTGGCAGAGCAGGTGTGCTGTGGGGGTAATCCACTTTGCTCATATCACCTGGACTCTCCAGAGCCAGCAGGCTGGAAAGGCTACGTCAGCTGAACCACAGAGTAGGTAGCTGCACCTCCCCCTGGGGACTCCATCCCAGGCAAAGATCAGAGTTCTGTCCATATAACCCTGACTGGAGTTGCTGACATTCCCACAGGGAGGCCCTGTCCAGCGAGGAGGGATGTACTGGGGTTCCTCTTAAAGAAGCAGACTGGCCATGATCTGGAAGAGCAGATGTGCTGCGTTATGGGGAACTCCTCCTGGTCCAGACTGCTAGGGAGGAACCAGCAAACTAGAATAGACTGGAACTGCAGAGATGGCAGCTGCCCTGCCTCGCCCCACCTGCCCCCTCCAACTCGGCCTGTCTCAGGCAGTCTCCAGCCTGCTGCCACTGTCTGACTGGAATTCCAAGCCAGTGGGTCTTAACTTGTGAGATGCTGTGTGAATGGGGCCCACAGAACAATGCTGCTTGGCTCCCTGGACTCAGCTTCCATCCCAGGGGAGGCATAGACAGCTCTCCCACCTTGCCAGAATTCCCAGGGCCAGAGTATGCAGAACTCCTGAGTCTCCCTGCATGCATGACCAAGCTGTCACTCTGCCGAGACTGCACAGCTCTGTGCTTTGGACCCAAGGCCCTGGTGGCATGGTCTCAGTGGATTGCAAAGATCTGTGAGAAAAGCATGGTTTCCTGGGTGGGGTCTCACAATCACTCACTGCCCCCCTTGACTGGGGCTAGGGGCTCCCCTGGCTCCATGTCACTCCCAGTGGATCCTCTCCATGACAGCCACGACCACAGCTGCTGCTAATCAGCCATCTTGGCCTCTCCACCCTGACTATTCACTTTTAAGGTGAACAAATTTATTATTTGTTCTTGATAACTCATAAGTAAAGGGAAAACATTCACATTGTCTGAACTAGATGTACTGTACCTCTGGGTGACCAAATATCAGAAAGATAATGAAATCTCTTTTTAAAATTATTCTCTTTTTAAAATAATTTAAAAAGAAATGATAAACTTAAAATATCACAACTTTTGAACTCATGCTAAATGTATTAATCTAGGTATTAAACAAGAATAGATGCTGACATTATAACAATGAGACAACCAGATATTACATAAATCCTGATGAAAGAAAACATTATCAACATTATCTATTTTATCTAAATATTATCTATTTTATCTAAATAAAATTGTCAGATCCAAGTGACTTTAAATCTGGACCAATCCTCCCATTTGCAGGAAATATAGAGGAAATAGAAACATGAAACCATTAAAATCCAAACTTGGAAAACTCTGCAAGTCAAATAGCCTGTGTTCTTCAACAAATTACATTCATGCATCAAAGAATGATATTCCAGTCATGTACAGCATGTACAACTGTGGTCTCATAATATTATAATGCTGTAGTTTTACTGTACTTTTTCTGTGTTTAGACATGTTTATATACAAAAATATCATTGTTTCATACAACGATATTTGTTTTATACAATGATATTTTTGCCTACAGTATTCAGTGCAATGATATGCTGCACAAGTTTGTAGCTTAAGAGCAAAAGGCTCTACTATATACTTAGGTGTGTAGTGGGATATTCCATCTAGTTTTTTGTAAGGACACTTTATGATGCTCCACACAATGATGAAATAACCTAACGACACATTTTTCAGAACACATCACTGTCATTTAGCAATATACGACTGTAATTGTAAGGAAAAGGGAACACTTAATACACTGTTGGTGGGAATGTAAATTAGTCCAGCCACTGAGGAGGGCAATTTGGAGATTCCTCAAAGAATAAGAGTTGAACTACCATTCGACCCAGGAATCCCATTTCTGGGTATATACCCAAAGGAAAATAAATCTTTCTATAAAAAAGACACACGCACGCATGTGTTCATCACAGCACTATTCACAATAGCAAAGACATGGAATCAACCAAGGTGCCCAACAATGGTGGACTGGATCAAGAAAATGTAGTACATACACACCATGGAATACTATGCAGCCATGTAAAGAATGAAATCATGTCCTTTGCAGCAAAGTGGATGCTGTTGGAGGCCATTATCCAAAGTGAATTAACGGAAGAACAGAAAGCAAAATATACATGTATTCACTTATAAGTGGGAGCTAAACATTGAGTACACGTGGACATAAAGACGGGAACAATAGAAACTGCAGACTACTAGAGAGAAGAGAGAGGGAATGGGGCAAGGGCTGAAAAACTACCTATTGGGTACTGTGCTCACTACCTGGATGATGGATTCATTCATACTCCAAACCTCAGCATCACACAATATACCTGTGTTAGAAACTTGCACAATTCTAAAATAAAAGTTGAAAAAGTAAAATAAAATGAAAATAGGAAAAGAAAAGGATGAATGGGGGGTTGTAGAGACTCAACAAAAAGAAATAGTGAAATGTGTTAGACTAAAGGATAATGTCTAGGGAGGCATAGTTAGACCACTAAACTGTAAAGAAACATAAGAAATGCTTATTACAAATTTCAGGCAATTGAATCGTTTAGTGGGGAAAGAGGTAGATATGATTAGGAAGGTGCTAATGGAAGACTCTAGGGTCTATACTATGCAAATAACCATATTACAGACATTTCATTACTGAAATTTTGGGAGGCCCAGAAGAAAGGGTGCTAGTATATTACAAATAACTCAGATATATACCAGCTTTATAATGTGGTAGTTTAGTGATTAGACTGTCAAGTCAGATTGCTGCTTAGGTTCAAATTGCAACTTTATTCTAGCAACAGGACTTTGAAATAGTTTCTTCATCTGTAAAATGGTGATATTTTACTTATAGGTTGTTCATGAGGATTAAAAGAAACATTGTGAAGGAATTTAGTTTTATGTTTTGTAAATAAGATAATAACAGAATCTTTGCTATATTATTCAGAAGTGAACATATACATTTTTATTGTCATTACAGCAATTTCTCAAAAACTTTTTGCATACTAAGTCATATATCTCACCTTGATAAGACCCTGAAAGTAATATTTAAGTCTTATTAGGTAAAATTTGAAATATAAAGTGTAAAACTTCAACTAAAGTGCAAATATTTATTGATTAAACCAAATGAATAAAGCATATTGTGTTTTTCAGCTGAAGTAGAAAATACTTTTCTAATACAATTGAATTCTTAAGGTTCAATTAATATCATTAGTAATTTTTGTTCAATATATTTATTGCCAGACTCTTTTCTTCCCTCTCCCATATATGATATTTACTTGAACATTTTTTGAGAAACTTTAGGAAAATAAATCTTTTGTACATCCTGCAATGATTAGTTGGGTCAAATAAGTATGCAATAATTTGGAATTTCATGGAACATTATTGTGAAGGCAATATTGAATAAACAAAGAGTCAAGATTGATTAAATTGATTCTCTTATAGATGAAATTGAACTTTTCACAATTCTTTTCAGATTGAAGTTAGGGATCATTTTTTTGCATCAAGTATGTAAAAATTGACACATTTTTGGCTATAGTTTCATTTAATGTTTCATTATTTTTATAGCCGTTTCAAAACAGGTTCCACATTTATGGTCACTATTCTTTGAGATTTAAAAACTTAGAGTTAATAACATATTTCACTTTACTATCTTTTAAAATTTTAATAACACACTGGTTTTCTGAAAAGTAATGATTTCACTACTATTTTCATATTTCTTAAATTTCTTTTTGAAGTTATATTTTTAATGCCAAAAGCTCTGGAGATTTTTGTTTTTTGGCATAATTCCTTTGCTCTGCCACACATGTTTAAAATATGCATTATCATAAAAAGACTATTGCTTCAAAATTTTATCTTCTTTAAATATATTTTTCAGATTTCCAAAGTCATACTGAAGCTTCTTAAAATTCATACATTACAGAAATCTATAATGTTCAAAGAACAGCCTTAAATAAATCCAATTCCCAGAGGTAATCACTGTCAACATACTATTCAAAGATTTTTTTGTAGACCAAGTTATATGTGTGTGTATATACAGATTAAGTGTAATTATCCTATTTATAGTTCATCTATTTTTTAAGACTGACCTATGCTAAAGCTTTTTTATTTAAACAATGTTGCTTTTAACACTTTTTTAAAAGTTTGAAACAAAAGTTAAATAAAAATTTTGAGAGGCCAATACTGTATAGAACTTATTCACTGGCAAATATATTTAAAGAAACATTTGATGAAATATCTAATGTTTGATCTTTTTAAAGTTTATCAATTGCAGCTATGATAAGATTTAGTCTCTAAATGACATTGAAAGAAGAGCAAACCCTGTCATCCCAGAACATTTGCATGAAAAACAAATAAAACTTTATCTTACTAAGTCACCATTTTCAAACTTCTTTTTAATAGCAACTTAGCATATATGTTAACTAATTCTAGAACCGTCAAACGCTAAAATCTGCTCTATAACTACATTGAGACATCTTAATAGCATTTCTTTATTGACAGAGTTATGAATAAAGAAAATATGGGGATATATTTATTCAATTTACTCATTAAATATTTAGCTAACAGCTACTACGTGCTAAGCACTATGCAGGGCACTAGAGACACACACTGAGCAAAGATGCTAAATTCTGTGCTCTCAGATATATTGTTTTAGACAGAAACAGACATTCATTGAAAAATCAAAAATAAAAATCTAAAATTTACTGATGTGAAAATTGTTTCAATTTTTGTCTACCAAGTTATATACCTGGTAATACAAAGAAAATAAGAAATATTTTGTCTCAATCACCAATGTTTCTTATATAATACCTACATAAAAATAAGAATAATTCAAAGACATACTGTCCTCTGTTACTTAGAATCTATTAGAGGAAATAAAAAGTAAAAATCTAATCATTAAGCAAGTGACTATGTTGGTACGACATGAGCACTAAGAGATTATTCCATTTATTGTGAGCATGTCTAAACCTGCCAAATGGTTTTCTAATGTAATGACAGATGTAACACAAAACAATACAATCACTGCTTTACAAAGTCTGTACCTCCTAATGTAAAATATCTGCATCTGAACTATGAGAAAAATACATTGAAGTTGTACCCAGCTACACATATTCATTTTTTTCACATAGCATTCATTACAAGTCTTCCTGACTAGTGGTTTCAATCATGATGTGTAATGATTTGATTTAAATTGTGTCTTTCTCAGAGAAGATTTGTCCAAACACATAGAGCAAATCTTCCACTGAAGTCTCCAGGTTTGAAATCAATCAGTAACTGGAATTTTAACGGAGGTAACCACATAACTTACATTTCCATATTCCAACTTGTTATTGTGAAGAAATTGCTGAATACTCAGAATGAGTTCAACCAAAGCTTGCCTGAGTTCACTCCCAGGTTTGTTAACCTTAGGAGAAAACCTTACTGTGAATATAGAATGCACTTGAAAACAAAGACAGACTTATTCCAAGCTTCCCTGGGAGTGAGGGTATACAGAACCAACCTGATTTTTGGTCTGGTTAGGGTCTGATTTTTAGAATGTGGTAAATTTGTATTAGTGACATTTAAAAACACTTGTCCTAACCTCCAGAGACATGGATTACAACAAAATTCTGAAAAATAAATTAGCTATATACATATAGATGTGTTTATGTAAATTTAGTGTATATATACACATACAAGAGTAGTTTTGAAGATGTTTGGTGTTGAAACTAGCGCTGAAAAGTTGGCTAAATTAAGACCTCAATTTTCAAGGCTTATGCCATTAAACTACAAGATAGATAATGGCTATTTTTCTCCCAATCAGCCTCTGAATCTTCAAAGTAGTATTTGTAGCATACCTACTTATGCAAATTTTTATTCAGCCACATAAAATATAATTGGAGAATGCACATTTTTCAAACACTCCTTGGAATATCTCAAATGTAGCAGACATACCACAAAATTACCTTGATAGGTTTAATGTAAGAAAGAAAATACTATATATACATATAACATATGCCAAAATTGTGCCTAAATTATAGATATTGTTAAATTTTTGGCAGCTTTAGTTTGGGCTTTATTCCCCTTTCTAAGTGGATCTATGAGATCTTGGGGTGCATATTAAGCTACCCATATTTTCTATATGCCCTCGTATTTGAAGATGATCAAGAATGCCCTACTATGTCTGATTTGGTCAAATTGCCATATGCCACCAGGACTGATCTCCCCCTGAGCCACACATATCACTAAGCCCTCAATTTTATACCAAAAAAAAAAAAAAAAACTAAGCCAGTTAATTTTGTTGGTAGTTGCTATATTGCTTCTCTTCTTGTTTCCTCATTTTTTTCTATTTTTGGAGGATAACTTTGTCATGAGCTCCTACAGCCACTAAACCACTCCCCCTTTATTACTGTCTAGCTATATAATATTGGCTTGCTTAATTCTATTATTAGCTTAAATTGTTGTGTTGGATCAAACTTAATTCCTTTTTCATTTGTTTATCTTTGAAAATACTAAATCTCTATATTATTAAAAAGATTAAAATTGGTTATCTAATTTCTAATTTGAAACAGATAAACAATTCTTTTGGACTGCCTGTGTGAAATAAACCAAACCACCACCACAGAAATTTCTATCTGTATGTCGTGGTTTATTCCACAAAGACATGAGAATCAATGTTATGTATAGTCAATTAAAATTTAGTGGTTGAATATGCCACAAATTATTATTTATTCTTGATGGAGTAACTTAAGACATGTCAAAAGTAGCTGCCAAGTTTAGGGAGGAAAACTAGATAAAATTAATCCATAGCAATAGGTCGCTCAACATATCTGGTTTTTATCACTTGCATTGCCAAACTATTGTGTATTCTAGAATGATCTCAGTGAATAAAGGAATTAAAAAAATACACTGTATTTCTGCCAACACTGTTATTTATCAGATTATCTGAGCTATAAGATTTTTGACGGGACATGAATAATGACAAGCACAGCTAAAATGTCAGAAACCTGAATTCTGTGCCCTAGGTGGATTACCACAGAACTCTGGAATTTTAGTGCTTCAAAGAACTTTAGAGATAGAATAACTCTTCACTTTTCAACATTCTTCTCAAATTTATTTTAGTTCACCCAATCAATTGAAATACAACTCCTGTATAGACAGTATTAAGTGTAAAACATTTATGTGTCATTTCTTTAAGGTGAACAATTGTAAGCCATTACTTCAGGAGAATGGCTGAAATGGCTAAAGCATACACTGGGTAACCTTCAAGTATTAATGCCAAATCCCTCAAATTTGACTCTGCTCCCAGAACATGCTACGTTCATGTTAGAGTACCTGACTTTTAGGAAACAAGATCCTTTTGTCATTTAATGTAACGTCAAATTTCATGCTAGTGCTAAACATTCTAATTGTACTGGAACTTAAAAAAAAAAAAAAGAAAGTTTAGGTTTAAATATGAAACTCTCAGTTTAGGTTAAAATATGAACTTAAAATATCAACTGATCATTAACCAAACAAATCCCCGGCATGGATCTGAGCAACATGGAAATAATAGAGTGCAGTTGATCTTCTTTAGATTTTCTTTGATTCAACAGATCAATACAATCATATTTTTATTTATTTACTCTCTTGCATTTCGTTAATAAGCATGCAGGTTGAAAGAACACCAGTACGTGCTGAATAGACTTTTTGAGCATGATTAATTAGAAAGCACAAATTATTCATTTAAATATGGTTCAGTTGCACAGAATTTGAATGCAAATTATTTTGTGGGTTATCCTTTATCTGTTTCATAAGAAACTTTCATCAAATCACAGCCTTTATCAAAACATTTTGCCTAATAGAATTATCTGCTATAGGTACAGCTTCCTTCACTGCAAGGTGTCATAGGCACACCTACGTTTAAAAAGGAGTACAGCTTTGCAATTCTTCAGTCTCAGCAGATTAAACAGATACCTTTTTCATGGACACTGACACTTTTATTCTAAATGACTAGTGGGAATTGAAATTCAAAATATTTCCAAAATCTGATAAATATTTCAGTTTTAAAATATATTATATTTATACTATACTTCCAAAAAAAGAAATTAACATTAATCTAATATGCCTGTGTAATCCTTTTTAGCAAGATATATTTTAAATTTAAAATTGAACATTTTTTCTAATTATACTTTTTCTAATTTAGAAAATACTATTTTATGTACATAAAATTTAGCAGAATATTTGATTATTGTTATCATGACATTGAGAATAATCATAAATACAACTACACTGGCAGAAAACCTTGATTAGGTAGCTCATTTATTTAATAGAAGTTAAATTTGAAAAATATCAAATAAAATCAAATAGTGTTTCTATATTCACTTCCAGCTCTAACAATTTCCATGATTTAGTACCTAATGATTCTTTTTAAAACAATGATAGTTTCAAATGTACAATAACTAGGGTTCTCTTTGTTCTGGCAAAATGAATAAATTAATATGCTGTGAGCATACACTATGAATGCTGTTTTCAGCCACCTTCACCATTATACGGATGGAAGAAAATGTAGAAAATAAATTACAGTAAAAATGAAGTAAACGGAGTCAAATCTGCCTTATTTTTTATTATACTTTAAGTTCTGTGTTACATGTGCAGAACTTATTTTAATTAACACTCATACTCCCAGCTCAAAGAGCTGAGTTTTATTGGATTCAAGTATCTACCATGCTATAGGTGAAACCTAATTCCATTCTGACTTTCAAACTATGTGTACTCAGTCTGATTCCCAGCTCTCATCTTTATATAGCAGCCATTGTTGTATCTATGAATAAATTCTTCCTCCTCCTGACTGTTTCAGGCTCCACATTAATCAAAGGTTTCAGTTAATTAGTTGTAAAAAGGGGTGTTACCAATTTCCATATCAGCCAGCCTAAGTAGATACCATATTTTGTCTAGCCAGGATCCCTGCTTACAGATAAAAGTAAAGATGCTTACCCTATACAAATACATACATTTGTAATAAATAGAATATATACGCTACAGACATAAAAATAAATATGGAAATATTTACTTCATAAATATATGTAAAATTTATGAAAATAATTTTAGGGCAATTTTATTTTCACTAAATTAAATTAAATATTCTGAAGATCAAAAGACACCATCAGTTTCTGCAGCTATCTCATTTATGTGATATTCTCTCCCTACTGCTCATCACTAAATTTTCTAAAGGAAAATTGCTATCTGCAGATATCAAATATTCACTTTTTTTTCAGAGCTAATACTTATCATCATTTTTCTCCCATCTCTTTCATGAAATAATTTTTAGGTAAAATTGTGTTTGAAGAATGTTTTAGTATTTTGTTCCATCTTCTATTTGGGGAAAGGTCAAAAAAATGTTCACACTGTTTCTTGCTTAGCTGCAAACAGTTTTTAAAAGAAGTTCAAGTATACTTATATTTCTCCCATTGAACAAAAGTTTTTTAAAAAGTCTCTTGATGTTGAACCTTGCTTCATCTCTAGATATATTTGTTTATGTGAAAAACAAAACTTTTTGGCAATCTGGATATGTTTAGGATTTTTTCCTCCTTTAAATTGAAAATCACATGATAAACATCTGTCATAAATCGTAAGTGTACCTTTCATTCTTGGTTTTGATCCAGCAAGTGTTCTCCATCACAAACTCTTCATCTGGCATATTTAACTGATGACTCCCTGCAGATAAAGCTGAAAGAAGATGATTTAATAATCCCCTTCATGTTCTAGTCTCAGGTTAAGTTGCTCTTATTTTACATTTATTTGAAATCTCTTTTTTATTCTCTTTATAAGAATCTTTAAGTTCTGTTTCTTTTTTTATATGGAAAAAAATTCCTTTTACAAAGAAGTACTTCTCTTTCTTTTATTACTTTCCGGGGTACTCTTTGATCTCTAAGCATTTTGGCTTTTTTTTTTTTTTTAATTTTTTAAAGTGGTCTCAAATTAGCACTTATTTAAGAAACAAACTCTATTAAATCCTGAGTATGTGTTAAGCACAAAACATAAAAAGATGATTGAGACTGATCCCTCCTTCACTAAAAAACTCATGACCTAGCAGCAATGAAATGCAAAGCAATCATTCCTTTCATGAAAGAAAATAAAGTGCAGAAATTTAAAAACATAAAAACAAAAAAACAGATTTGGAATCTCACAAGCCACAAGACTTGTTTAAACTCTGGGCTTGGCAGGGCACGGTGGCTCACGCCTGTAATCTCAGCGCTTTGGGAGGCAGAGGAGGCCAGGAGTTTGAGACCAGCCTGGACAATATGGCGAAACGCAGTCTCTACTAAAAATATACATCTGTAATCCCAGCTACTTGGGAGGCTAAGGCACAAGAATCGCTTGAACCTGAGAGGCGAAAGTTGCAATTGCAGTGAGCTGAGATGGCGCCACTGCACTCCAGCCTGGGCGACAAGAGTGAGACTCTCAAAAAAAAAAAAAAGAAAAGAAAAGAAAGGAAAAGAAAAGAAAAAAAAGGAAAAGAAAAGAAAATCTAGGCTCAATCACTGTTAAGGTATGTGACATTTGTCAAATTCCTTATTCTCTGAATCATTATTGTATAATCTTGAAAATAGCTCTGTAGAGGAAAATAAAAAAAGAGTATGGATCCTAAACTACAGATAGTGCTTTGTCTAATATCTGTACATTCTCAGGCACATACTCAAAATTCATTTCCACAGAAAAGGAAACGTTAGTTTGGAAATCTGCATTTTTTATGGAATTTTGTAATTTTATTTTACATTGAGATTTAAGTAATTTCCTAAGGACCCATATGAATTGAAAATTTGCAAACTCATAAACAAAGTCTAGGCATTCTCATAATCTGTCACATACTGAGACCATTTGGCAACACAGACACTTTGTTAAGCTTTCTTATTTTCATATAGAGAACCTGCTGGTATAATGAAATTAATTCATTAGATATAGTTGTGAAAGGAGACCAGCAATACAAAAATTCTCAGTGACATTTCAGAATAGAGTCAAGTACGAACAGGCCACTTGGCGCAGAACTGGCAGAGTAGGAAGGAATAAGACTGTAATTGACCTGAGGTCTTTGAAATGATCATTATCATGAGAGTCTCCCATATATATACCATGGAGTGCCCATGAGCATGGAAATCTGCATTTCTAAAGGAAGTTTTGAAAGGAAGAGGAAACACCTAAAGTATGATGAACATAACAAGGAATGATTTGTACTTCCATTTTCAGTCAAAATGGAGTAGACACATTGCTTCTAGGTTATTCCTGTTCCAACCAAAACTCTCTGGACATAACACAACAAACAAGTATAGAAAGACTCTGAAAGGTGGAGCTGAGAATGTAAACTGTCTAGGAACCTTGGTTCTCAAGGAATGACACAGTGGGTCCTTTGGTTTCTTTATTGCCCCTCATATATCCTAGACAGGGTACTGCAGAAGATTCCAACCCAGAACCTCCAATAGGCAAAGCCAAGAAAATAAATTTCAAGCTAAGCTTGTTCCCTGAAGTGACCTAACAGAACAGAAAATCATTTTGGAAATACCCAGCCGCCTACAGCCAAACACCAAGGGAACCCAACTGCCCCATGGTTTCAGTGAGAAAGAGCAGAGAGCTGACATTCCACCCCATCCATTCCCCAGCAAAATAGGTGGCGGCACTCAGACAAGTGGTATTGGTAAAAAGAACAAGGAGCTAACCTTCCACCCCCACCTGGGAGGAGCAGGTAGCACTTCAGTTCTCCTGATGGCTGGTGCTGGCACTCCAAGTAGGAGTCTGACCTTCCTTTCCCCCGCCATTCATTTTTTCCCTTTGAAGCTAAAACAATAGATTAGAGGTTGCTACTTCTTCCATATGTAATTTTACACTGCCTGCCACTAGTTTATCTGACTGTTTTAAAAATCCATTTCTTTTAGTTATGTCACTTGGAACTCGAATTTTTATACTATGCCCTATTCTAAAATCGTATTCCTTTCCTTCTGCCAGATATCTTCTTCAGTCTATTCCCCGCCAAAAAAAATCCCTTGAGTGAAAATTGAGTGTTGTGATAATTTTTACTGAAACATCCTTCCAAAATACTACTGGTTACTAATTATTTACATTTTTATAATTCTGCCTCATTTACCATGTTATAGAAATGGGTATATATTTGCATTTGCTTTTATGACTATAAATGTTATTAATTTCAGAAGTAAGTTTATAAGCATAATTATATGTTGGGGAAACAGTGGAGAATATATAAATTAATATTTAGTTCCATCAATAATAAATAAGAAGAGTACACTAAAAAAAATAGGCTTAAATTACAATTTTAGGCCGGTGGCTGGGCCATTTTGGCAATATTATTTTATCTTAAACTCAGAAGTACTTGAGAAATGCGTCTTAATAATTTTTATCTTTTTATACTTTTCATCTCACTTTTTCAGTTTCATAGTGTATTTAATAAATGTAATGAGAAATTGCTAGATACTAATATACTGATAATTTCACCTTTTTCTTTCTCTTTATTTTTAAAAAAAAATTGTATTATTTTAAAAACATTTTTTCCGAGACATATGTTTCTGTACAAAGTGTGTTATATCTATGTTTTCTGAAATTGTACTGAGAATTGACAAAGATTCTGCTCAGCTTATAACAATCTTTTTCATGTAAATAAATTACAGTGCAATCTAAATGTGTAAATAATTTATAATGTAAAGAGTTGTTTGCAAGCTGATTTTTTCAAGTGCCCAAGATTGAATTTCTTTGGCTTCCCTCAGTTGACTTTACTGTATCTCATATGAAGGCACATTGCTTTGTAGCTCACCCCTATTTCACAGGGTCAAGAATTGATATTAACCCTTTTCCAAATGAACAACTATAACTAAAAAATCACATAGCAAAAATATGTCCACAGGATATGAAGTAAGGTAGAAGAGTAAAAGGGTAGAAAGGTGTCTTTTTTTGAGAAATAACCCAGTGAAGAAAAAATGATATTTTTAGATTTCTAACAATCTTGAAAGAGAAAAATAAAATAAAAGAACAAGTGATAGGCTCTTGCCTGGAACTGACACTTGTACCACAGGAAAATGCAAAAAGGAGAATGAAAAGTTGCTCAATGACCTTTCCTTTAATGCACTGAAGATAAGGTTTGCTTGTTCTTTCTAATCAGGTGTCTGGCGAAATAAAAAGAATCCTTGGACTTTCTACTCTTTAGTTTCTCCTTTTGTACAGAGAATTTCATATTGCCCTTTAGTGTTTCAAACACAGAACATACAGTTGACCTTTGATCAACCCTTGGGTTAGGGGTTACAAGCCCCCACACAGTCAAAAATTCATGTATAAAGTTTGATTCCTCCAAAGCTTAACTAGTAGTAGCCTACTATTTACAAAAAGCTTCACTGATAACATAAACAGTCAATTTTCACATTTTTGTTTGCTATATGTATTATATATTATATTCTTACAATAAAGTAAGCTAGAGAAAAAATATTATTAATAAAATCATAAGATAAAATATATTTAGTATTTATTAAGGGGAAGTGGATCATCATAAAGGTCTCTATCCCCGTCTGTTATCTTCACATTGCATAGGATGAGGAGGAGCAGAAAAAGGAAGGGTTGGTTTTGCTATATCAGAGGTGGCAGAGGCAGAAGCAGTGAGGTAGGTGGAAAGGGAGGCAGGAGAGATTTCTTGAAAATAATGGTGTATAAATGAATTGTGCAGTTCAAACCTGTGTTGTTCAAAGGTCAACTGTATAAAATTACTTTGGTACTCATGAATTTAGCTACTTAAACTCTATTCACTTATAAATCTTTATGACCTACAATCTTTTTTCATAGTAAAGTGAACAGAAGGTCTTAGAGATTTATATCTATATTTAGGCATGCCTCAGAGATTTTGCAGGTTCTATTCCAGACCATGGCAATAAAGTAAGTCGCACAAATATTTTGGTTTCCCAATGCACACAAAAGTTATTGTTACAATACTGTAATCTACTGAGTGTACAAAGCATATTTTACTAAGTGTGCAAAGCCTAAAAACAATGTACATACTGTAATTTAAAAAATAATTTATTGTAAAAAATGCTAACAATCATCTGAGGCTTCAGCAAGTAATAATCATTTTGCTCATGGAGGGTCTTGCCTCGAAGTTGATGGCTGCTGACTGATCAGAATGGTGATTGCTGAAGGTTGGGGTGATTGTGGCAGTTTCTTACAACAATGCAGCAATGAAGCTTGTGGCATTATTTGACTCTTTGTTTCATGAAATGATTCTCTGTAGCATGAGATCCTGTTTGGTAGCATTTTATCCACAGTAGAACTTCTTCCAAATTGGAATCAATCCTCTCAATCCCTGAGACTATTTTATCAACTAAGTTTATGTAATATTCTACATTTTTTGTTGTCATTTCAACAATGTTCACAGCCTCTTCTCCAGGAACTGATTCCATCTCAAAAAAACACTTTTTTTGCTCATATCTATAAGAAACAACTCCTCATTCCTCATTCACTCAAGTTTGATCATGAGATTGTAGCAATTCAGTTGCATCTTCAGGATCCACTTCTGATTCTGGTTCTCTTGCTATGTTCACCACATCTGACATTACTTTTGCCACTGAAGTCTGAACCCCTCAAAGTCATTAATTAGGGTTGAAATAAACTTCTTGTAAATTCCTGTTAATGTTGATATTTTCAGCTCACATGAATTAAGAATGTTCTTAATGACATCTACAATCATAAATTATTTCCAGTGGTTTAAATTTACTTTGCCCAGATCTATCAGAGGAATAAGAGCTATCTATGATAGCTTTAGCCTTACAAAATATTATATCTTAAATAATAAGACTTGAATATCTAAATTACTCCATGATCCCGGGTTAAAGAATGGATGTTGTGTTAGTAGGCATGAAAACTTCAATCTTCTTGTATACCTTCATCAGAGCTCTTGGGTGACCAGGTATTTTGCCAGTGAGCAGTAATATTTTGAAAGGAATCTCTTTTTCTGAGCAGTAGGTCTCAACAGTGGGTTTTAAATATTCAAAAAAATTCTGTTGTAAAGAGATGTTCTGTTATCTGGGCTTTGTTGATCCATTTATACAACACAGGCAGAGTAGAATTAATATAATTCTTAAGGAACCTAGAATTTTCAGAATAGTAAATGAGCATTGGTTTTAACTTAAAGACACCAGCTGCATTAGCCCCTAATAAGAGGATCAGTTTGTCCTTTGAAGCTTTGAAGCCAGGCATTGACTTCCCTTCTCTAACTATGGAAGCTCTACATGGCATCTACTGCCCATATAAGACTGTTCTGCCTGCAAAATCCATTGTTTAGCGTAGCCATTTTCATCAATGATCTTAGCTAGGTAATCTGAATAACTTACTGCAACTTTTATATTATTACATGCTTCTTCTCCTTGCACTTTTATATTTTGGAGACAGATTTTTTTCTTAAACTTCATGAACCAGCCTCCACTATCTTGAGATTTTTTTTTTCTGCAGCTTCCTCACCTCTTTCAGCCTTTATAGCATTACAGAGAGTTAGGGCATTGCTCTGAATTAGGCTTTGGCTGAAAAAAATGTTGTGGCTGGTTTGATCTTTTATCCAGACCACTAAAACTTTCTCTATATCACCAATAAGGCTATTTTGCTTTCTTATAATTTGTGCATTTACTGGAGTAGCACTTCTAATTCCTTCAAGAATTTTACTTTGCATTTGCAGTTTGGCTAACAGTTTGGCACAAGAGGCCTGGCTTTCTGACTATCTTAGCTTTCAGCACGGCTTCTTCATTAACCTTAATGATTTCTAGCTTTTGATTTTAAGTGAGAGACATGCAACTCTTTGCTTCAGTTTGAACACATAGAGGCCATTGTAGGGTTATAAGTTGTTATAATTTTAATATTGTTCTATTTTAGGGAAAAGAGAGGCCTGAAAAGACGGAGAGAGAAGGGGTAATGCTGGGTTGGTGGAGCAGTCAGAACATACTTAATATTCATCAATTAAGTTTGCACTCTTATATGGGCTTGGTTCATTGAGCCCCAGGCAATTGCAATAGTAATATCAAAGATGATAATCACAGATCACCATAACAGGTATAACAATAACTTAATAGTTTGAAATATTGTGAGAATTACCAAAATCTGACACAGAGACACAAAGTGAGCAGATGCTGTTGGAAAAATAGCGCCAATAGACTTGCTACTTGCAGTATTGCTACAAACCTTCAATTTATAAAAAACACAATATCTACAAGGCACAATAAAACAAGTTGTGCCTGTATTGTTAAATCAGACTACATTTGGTCTGAGAAAGCCTCCATAGTCCCATGCTTGAGTTCTTACAAATAATAACCTAAATTGGTATGTAAATAAGTTGAAAACCTAACTTAGGAGTATGCTTGTGTAGCAACTAGCTGAGTGTTATCTAATCATAGCAACTATGCTTTAACCAATCACAGGTGGCCAACTGTTCAATCTGTGTTCAAATTAGGCAAATGCCATGCTGTAACCAAGCCTGCTGTTTTTGTACCCCACTTTCGTTTTCTGTACATAAATAAATAAATATATATATGTGTGTGTGTGTGTGTGTGTGTGTGTGTGTGTATACACTCCCTACAGTATGGAATGCATACAGATACTTCCTATAGTATAGAATACAAAGATAGATATCCCCTATAGTATAGAATAGAAAGAGAGATATTGCCTATAATGTTTTATTAATATTTCCTTCATTCATCATATAGGAAAGAGAAATGATTGCATATTACATGAAGTTCTTTTTTGCTTATGATAATTATTGAAAGCTTACTCATACTGTGCAACTAAATAAAAATACTGTTTATCAGAAAAGCCACTTTAAAATAATTACTGTTTTATTCACAGAAAAAAAATCTGAAATTTTTAGAATTTAGTTTCTTCATATTCATTTTGTCCCTATTGAAAGATACATTTAAAAATACAAAAATTAGCCAGATTTGGTGGCACATGTCTGTAATCCCAGCTACTCAGGAGGCTGAGGCAGAGAATTGCTCAAACCCAGGAGACGGAGGTTGCAGTGAGCAGAGATCACGCTACTGCACTCCAGGCTGGGTGACAGAGCAAGACTCCATCTGAAAAAAAAAAATATTCAAGGACTTACTGTCAAAGCAGGACTCAGATCCTGCAGGCTCACATATTTCATTTTCACTATGATATTGATATTTTTCCTATTTAATCATATATGACATATTTTTATTAATAGCTATTAATTGTAGATTAAAATTATCAACACCACCCCATTCCATATTTTTTAGACTTAGGTCTGATAACAGTAACATAAATTTGTATGACATTTTACATTTTACAGAACATTTTTAAAACCTATTCACAACACTTCTGGAAAGATCAGGTGTGGTTTCCAGGCATTCAGAATCACATTCTCATTTAAATTTGCAGTCTGGACGACTTCTTCTTTTTCTCCAGTTAAATTACTTACGAAACATTCTTTTTATAAAATTACATACTTGCTTCTGTGTATACCATTTCTGTAATCTCTTTCTTTACTTCCATTTAACCAAATATCTCCTGTTACTTAAGATCCAGTTCAAATATTTCCTCTTAAGAATTTTTACATTCCCTCCATCTTGACTGTTATATGTTTTATTCTAGACTCTTGGAGCACATTATTATCTCTTATGATGTATTTCCTTCTATCCTATTTAAAATTAATTTGATACACATATTAGCTCTGCCACTACTAGGTAAGCTTATTGGGTACAGCTATTTTCTTTCTTTCTTTTTTTCTCCTAGCAGCAGCTAGCATACCACCATACACTGTAGGAATTTCAGATGTTTTGTATGGAAAGAATGAATAAAACTTCAGAAGAGAATTTGTGTACAACTAAGGTGGCCCATGTCAGAACTCAGCCCAGGAATTGTGACTCTTATGCTATTTTAGATCTCAAAGAAGGGGATATTGGATTGTCCCCAAAAGCCACTCAAAGTATTACCATATTCTAAAGTCAAGTAACCTTGACCTTAAGCATAGTTCATTTATTTTACCTGGAACTTGTCTGGGTCTCATGATTTATAGCTATTAATTCATGTTCTGATTTCCTTTCTTATTCATGCTTTTATTATTTGTCATGTGCTTTCTCAGATTTATGTGAGTAGAGATTTTTAAAAACACCTTTTACCTTAAGTTCCCCATATTATTTCAAAACTCTTTTTAAACAGCTGAATCAAAAACAAGCAAACCAATGAAAACAAAAACAATACAAAAAACTATTTCAAAAATGTAATTACTGGAAATATTTTAACAAATAGAGGAATGAATCTGATTTTTAACATTAGTTTTCAACTAATTACATATGAGCATAAAATGTATTTCTTTTAAATTTGTACAAAAATTTCAAATACTATAAAATCTTTAGACCACGACAAAACTGTAAATGAATGATAATATTATACTCAGAAAACATTTTGAACTGAAACCTTTCTGCTTGAGTTGGAAGTCCATATTTTTCTGTTTCATATAATTATTAGGAGCACACTTTACCTTTAGTTTTCTACTAGCCTGCCTTCTTTCTAGTTATCACTGGCACTTTTAAATCATTCTTTCCAAAGAACTCTTCATGCTGTTTCCACACTTTACAGGCAATAACTGTAATTCCAAAATGTGTCAAAATCTGTCACAGATCTGCTTCAATATTTAAACTTGAAAAAATAAGATTTTTTTTCTCTATCCAAAGGCATTTTTGTAGAAGAAATTATATACAAACACACAACACAAAGGAAACTGAATGAGAAAAGAAAATTGACATTTTGATTTGTGGACTCTCCAGTAGGTCTATCATTCATCCAGAAAAATATCAGTTTTGTCACTCTTCTCAGGCAGGGAGACTAATTGGTGCAGCTGTGGCAGAACACAGTCTTTCTTCTGGGAAAGCCGCCTTGCATGAAATAGAACATGCTAAAGGACTTGCAGGTGTTATGAATTGAGTGTAAAAGATGAGACTATGTCTGATTAGGGAGAGCTAACGATGTATAGACATGTCTTTCTAAACACCGAGTTACTAATATTTTTTTTGTGTGTGGATGACAGTTCTTTCATTGAACAAATATTTTTGAATTTGTAATCTGCACAAAGCAGTGCACTAGACACAGCCCATAGCCTAAGAAACAAATAAAACTGGCCATGATGGAAAAGACAGTGAAAAATCAACATAGAAATGAACTCAATCTCTAAGGTAATGCAGTGCCTTATTTTGGTTTTCTTTTTCATAATGAGATTTCCATCCAACTCATTCTAGAGATCATAAAGGTATTAGTAAAAGCTAACATTTAGCATGGCCAGAGAGGTGAAATTATCTG
Source organism: Homo sapiens (assembly GCF_000001405.40). NCBI lineage: Eukaryota > Metazoa > Chordata > Mammalia > Primates > Hominidae > Homo > Homo sapiens. Next base: position 88,671,301 of record NC_000003.12, on the reverse strand, counting down.
CCCAAGGTCTTATTCAGGTTTTGTAATTCCCAGTTTAGTAAAATGTTGACTTCACCATAATCTTCTGTGAACCAATCAGATAAGAGTTCATGACCATATCATCCACTTACACTTCCCTGGTGTTGCAAAAGGAATTATTATTTATGATTTAGCAACATAATTGAACCTGAGCAATTGCTCATCATTCACGAGACCAGGTGAAGGAAAAAGGAATGGCATTAGTCCTTTACAGCAATGGAAGGAGAAGTTGGACATTTTCCTAGAAGCAAACGGGAGTCTCAGACTCTTTACCTCCCACCTCACAAGATGAATTTATCAACGATTCTTCCTGATGTTTTGGGTAAGAACAGTGGAGACGGAGTGATAAGGCTTATTATCTGGGCAATCTTGGGCAGGTTTTTTAACCTCTGTGCATTTCAATTTTCTCAATATCTTTAGGCTACTTTTATCAAAGCATCTATTTCACTATATATTTTTTCTTGTCTGGATGTTCTTGAGGACAGGAATTGTCTTATCTACCTTTATACACCTAAAGCTTAGACTAGACATATCCAAAATTAAATGATAAATAGCTACCAAATCAAAAAATAAAATATTATCCTTATCTAACTCATGGAATTGCTATACATTAATGAAAACATTGTGAAAACACTTTAAAACATTAAAATGCTATGTCATATAAGTGAGCATCATATTTGTGCTTATCAATATTCTAAGTGTTATTTATTTGTGCTAGTTTACTTCATTCTTATAAAAAACTGACAAGGGAGATATTATTATTACCCCTTTACAGGTGTGAAAACTGAGCCACAGAGAGATGGGCAAAAATGCCAATGTGTTTTAACCTGTACTTCTTGGAACCAGAATGTGTACCTGTGCAATCAAATACCAGCATCTGTGCTCTTAACCGGTATATATTATTGCAACCAAATAGATTTATTTATTGTTTGTAGATATGCCTATGTATCTCTTGATTGAAATAGCAAATGACTAAAAAAGAATGTGTTACCTCTGGAATTTAGTTCATAAAGGAATGTTGAGACATAGAAAGACCATTGAGACTGAAGTCAGACAGGAATAGTTTAAATTATCCTGTTATTCTCTTTCTCTTTGATCTTAAAGTTATAACTGGATGTTCCAGAGGCTTAGTTTCCTATGAAATTATGAAATGATACCATTTACTTACAGGATTCAAAGTGTCTAATTACAGAACAGCTAGTAGCCCTTCAGCAATATATAGCTACTAGTCCTACAATTATTGTTATTGCCATTTATTTCCCTTTTTTCTTTCTTTCTTCCTTTCTTTTTGATTCTTTGTGTATTAATTCACTCAACACTTAGAAATTGAGCACTTATTGTGTGTCAGATATTGCTCTAAGTGGGAAGGATATATAAGGGAGTAAAACAGATATAGCTGCATATGTAAAGCTTACCTTCTTATAGAAAGAAAAATATGACACAGGTTAAATATATAAAGTAGATTAAATATATGAAATAGATTATATAGCAGAAGATGATAAAAGCTTTGGAGAAAAATAAAGCAGACAAGTTTCATAGTGCGTTCCAGAGGAGAGAGAGAATTTACAATTTTAATAAGGTGGTCAGAGATAAATGCACTAAGGTGATATTTCAAAGAAGAGTTGAAAGAGATAAAGGAGGCAAACAATGTGAATATCTTGAAGCATTGCACTTTGGGCAAAGGATACACTATTATAAATGTCCACTATTATAAATGTCCCAGAGTGGGATCATGCTTGCCTTGTTTGAAGAATAACTAGAAGGCCATAGTGGATAGAATGGATTGAGGAAGGGAAGAGAAATAAGATTTAAATCAGAGAAATATGGGGATGGGGTCATCAAAGGAAGAACACTTTCTCAATTTTGAGAATTTTGAGTTGTTTTTTGTTTGTTTGTCTGTTTTCTGAGGTAGAACACCACTGAAGTATTTTGAGAAGAAAATAGCCTTAAGTTGACAGCTCTGGCTGGTGTGTGTGTTAAGCAAAGATGGTAAAAAGTGAAGGATGATAACAAGAAGCCAGTTAGGAGGTGTTCGTAATAATCTTGCTGAGAGGTAATGATGTCTTGAGCCAGAGTATGTGGCAATGGTGTGTTAAGGACAACCATTTGTGCCAAATGCTGACAGCTGACCCTATTTATTGGCCCAAAAGCAGTAAGAAGAGGTGGATATAGATTTCGAGGAGAACAGATCATCTTGTGATGCAGTCTCTGTACCATTTACAGCCAAGAACAGATCGTTAACCTTTTCAGTTAAGAAGAATGGGTCATTTTTGCTGCTCAGAAGAGTCAGAGACATTTTGGGATGCTGAGTTCTCCAGCATATTGAACTACATGCTCCCCAGCCAGGTCTCAGTGTCACACTCTTTCTCAGGGGCCTGAATTTAGCATAGGAACCTTGCCAAGATGATCAATTCAGCCTTCCTTGAGATTCTAGCATTCTCAAACTTTGGTTCTGGGCCTCATTTTTAGCACAACCTGCTCTCTGGTTGCATGACAGGAGGGTCCTTTACATACCACCATCAAGGTCTTCTGGCTTTCACACTGTGCCCTGGGTTGATAGTTGGCTGATTTCGTCCTATTAGTTTCTTCCATCAGTGCATCACAGGCACTTTAAAACACTCAATCACTTCCACAGCTTCTATAATTGCTACTGCTCCTATGAAAGTATCTTATTTAGAAACAATGGTGTTTATAAGGACAGGGGTATTTGTAGGAGACTAGTAAGTGAGGAAGTAAAGCAGAAAGAGAGGAATTATCAAGCCAGTTGTCCTTGCAGGTAGCTAGAGCTTAATCCCAAGGTGGCTATCTGGAAGGTAATGTAGAACTCCTGCTTCAGAGTTAACTCAATGGAGAAACAGCAAGTTAAGGTATTCATGCATACAACGCCAATACTCTTTGGTTCAGGTCTGCTCCCAGAGAGCACTAATTCTCTGACATTTACTGCCTGCTGTGCCTGTGGTAGAGTGAAATTCAACCACTAGAGAAAGGCCTCAGGCAATGAGATACAGATGCTAGCAGCTGGAAATCAGTCTGATACACAGTACAATGGAAAGGCCCATCGTATATGGTCAGGGCACTGACCATGTTTAGCATACAATCTACTATTGATGAACATCTGGATAGTTTCTGGGTTTAGACTTTTATGATTAGTTGCGAGGAACATTTTTGCACATTTTTTTTGTGAACACATGTATGTGTTTATTTGGGGTGTATACCTAGACCAAGAATTACTAGGTCCTGGGGTATACATATGTTCAACTTACTACATTCTGTTAAACATTTCCTTAAAATCATCATACTAATTCACAATCCAGGAATCGTTAAAGAGAACTGTGGTTGTTCCATGTCTTTGGTAATAATTAGTGTTATGTCTTTTCTTATTTGATTCATCTGTTGCATGCGGCATTATACATGTGTGGTTCTAATTTTCTTTTCCCTGCTTATTAATAAAATTGTATATTGTTTGTATTTGAAAATCACACATCCTTTATTGTAAAGTGTCTGTTAAAATATGTACCTTTAAATTTAATTAAACAGCATTGCTTAATAAACTTGATTTTCTCCTTCTTTTTTCATTAACCATATTTTTGATGTTTTTGAAATTTACCAATGTTTCACATATATGCTTAATTCATGTATTTTATTCATTCACTATTATAGCACATAATATTTATCTATTCCCCTAGAGATGGGCATTAATTTACCTGTCAATTTTTTTCTACCATGACAATGCTGTGAAAATCATCCTCATTTACATTTTCATCTGTATTCTTGACTATATACCAACTAAAGCTCAAAATATATTGCGAGACTAGGAGTAAAAATGTACATTTCTTGTAAACTACCTCAGTATTTTCCTTTTCTCATAGCCTGGCTAGGTCTTACTATTTTCCTTTTTTTGTCTTTTTTGTTTCAATTGCTTTTTTTGTGATTACTAGTAAGCTTGAGCATCTCAATATTTATTATATAGCTAAGCCTCATAGCAGAGATAATAGACATATAATACCAGCACAAAGCAAATTTACTGTAAAAACTTACAGAAAGAATGGCAGCTGATTATATGCAGTTTCTGGAGTGCTCACAATTCCGCTGGCCTAATATAGCTGGGCTTGATGTGGAAACATTCAAGTTTATGCTCCAGGTACTCCAATAATCTTCTTTATATGATCAATGAAAAATTGGGAGGAGACACAGGGCACCTGATCTACCGTGTAACAATGGGAATCAAAAGATCTTGACTTTCCCGTTCTTTGGTATGACCTTGCTGATAAGAGGCATATCCTGATTTCCTGAGTTGCCTAAAGGAATTTGGTTTCCAGGACCAGTGTAAGATGGAGACTTTGCAGACCCTTGTACAGAGCCAGTTCACTGATAGGCTACCCAAATGGAGAACTGCCTGGATCATCCATCCATTCATTCAGCAAATGGCTAAGTATCTTCTTGGTTACACACTGGTCCCTAGAAGAACTGATTAAACATAAGCCTTCCCATCAAGGGTGGAAATTAGTTGAACCTTTAGTGCAGCTTCTAGTTTCTCTTGAAAATGGTTGGCCGGGCGTGGTGGCTCAAGCCTGTAATCCCAGCACTTTGGGAGGGTGAAGGGGGCAGATCACGAGGTCAGGAAATCGAGACCACCCTGGCTAACATGGTGAAACCCTGTCTGTACTAAAAATACAAAAAATTAGCTGGGCGTGGTGGCACGCACCTGTAGTCCCAGCCACATGGGAGGCTGAGGCAGGAGAATCACTTGAACCTGAGAGGCAGAGGTTGCAGTGAGCCAAGATTACACCACTGCACTCCAGCCTGGACAACAGAGTGACACTCCGTCTTAAAACAAAAAAAAAAAGAAAGAAAGAAAATGGTAAAAAATAATAATAATAAAAATAAATAAATAAATGGATATTACCTAAGTATAGAAACTGTAGAATTAATAAAATTATCATTAGAAGGATTTTTAGAATCATCTAAACCATTTGGTATAAAGTCCAACTTCAGAACACACACACCACGCACACATATACTCCTGGGATCAGACTGAAGGATGACTTAGTGTCCTTTTTTTTTTTAATTTCATTAGGTGAAGGCCCAAGGCCCACATATCCTGCATTAGCCTAAGAATGCTGCTGATAGTGCAAAAATCCTGGTAATGTGATTTGTCCCCCTCACCTCTGGTTCTTGGGTCATCATGAAGGATCATATAATTCCCACCAGAATGCAAATAGTATTATATCTATGTGGTTGCAAGAGAGAGCTTGCCTACTTCAGAGAAAAATAAGTCCTAGGGGACACAAAGTGTGTACTAACAGTTTATTTTGAGGTGACATTATGTATCCAGCCAGTATTGATTATCTTCTGCTTGGTCATATAGATTTTCTGCTCTTTAAGATGGTGACAAGATTTGGTTACCTCAAGGATGTGGAGAAAGTTGCAATCATGGCTTTTGCAGTAAGCACTGCTATGTGAAGTAGTTGCAAACTTTCCTAAGAGCGAAGATATCAGAACAAGCATATCATTTTATGCCTGGAGGAAATGAGGAAAGTTTGATATAATTCATGTGGTTGAAGAAAACATCTATGTGAAGGACCAAAGCATACAGACTAAAGAGGCTGTGACAGTTACCAAGAAGTAATTGTCTAGGAATCACTAGGAATTGTCTAGGGAAGGGAATGGGATCTAAAAAGATTTCCTACATCTTGAGCAGACTGTGGGCAACATTTGAAACATCACTATCAGCCACAAACTGGGAAAGCTTTAGCCAGCTTTTGGGCTGGTCATTTCTATAGTAAGAGAGAAGAAAGATAATTTATCCACGCTCTGAGCACCCTTCCCTAGCTTCTAAAGGTCAGGAGTGTTCATGCATAAATTGTTGCTTTGGGAAATAGCTAGTATTCTTGTTATTCTCCAGTAGGCATAAACTCTATAGAAATCCCACAGAAATGCTTCTGCCTCCAATGATGACTTCTGAAGAACAACAACAACAACAGCAATAGAAAGGAAATGTGTAGAAAATGTATGATAACCATAGCAATATTCCTCACTTCCAGAGACATCGAATCATAAAATCCCCAAGAAATGATATGGTGTTATCCTAGTAGCAAGGATCCAAAATCATTTACATCATATCCATCCAGTCATACTCATTCGATGAATTGTAAATCTCCATCTATTCACCTTGGTGAAGATTCGTGTGAATTAGAGGGAAAGAGTGAGTTTTGAGATACAGAAACTTTGGAGTCCTTAGACCTCAGGTAAAAATGTGTTACTCTAACCTTAAAAAAAAAGGAAATCTATGAACTAAAATGGAAACATCTCCAAGATGTGTTCAGTGAAAAGAAAAATATGCAGGCCAGTAGGTATATTATGTTCTATTTGTGTTAAATAAATAATACTCCTTATATTGTGGTATAGAAATACAAGGATCCTGAATTACCAGATGAACTGTCTTATTTCCCATGCCTGACACCCACATGCCTAAGAGTTTCACCCAGCAGAAAGTCCTTGCAGAGTAGGGCAGTGTTCATTTTTTTTAAGAGTTCACATAACCAAGGATAGGTGAAACAGACAACCCTGTCAAATTGTTGCAGGAGAAATTGTTGCAGATAGTCTTTGAGAGAGTCGTCTCATTGCTCAGTGGTATTTGCTCCCCATGACTGATAGTGAGTTAAACCACCAAATGCCATGCTGAGAGGCCTAGGGCAGTGGCAGGCATAAGCAGAATCCCACTGACAAATTTTATTAGGTTGGGAAATTTCCATGCCTGAACGATATTTTCAATAGCTATATGTGCATTATCTACTCCAGAAAGAACACGGCAGCTCCATTGCCCACAAATATGTCTATGGCAATCAGGTCCCATTTTTGTCTCCTTGGTTGGGTCAGGAATATTTGCCAGATGCAAGTTGATCCATGTACATGTGGTGGTTGCCTAGTTTGTTTAAAGTTATGCATTTGGTAGCTGCCAGATGAGAGCAGAAGCCCCAGAGTGAGAATTTAGGTCTTACTTTCCAACACCAGAGTTAGCTCTGCCAGTGAGAGAAACATCTTGACCTCAGAAGTTGAGCGACTTGTGGGGTTTGGGCCCCAGAGGCTTTATCACTGAAGACCTTAGTCCTTTCTGTGGAGCTAATTGCTAGGATAACTGGAAGAGCAATAGGTATGTCTCCCCTTTGTTATTAAGATTCCCTATTCCATAAATTCTTCTTTAGATCCTTTGCTCAGTTTTCTCTTGGTTTTCCTATCCTATTGAGGAGTAGCATATCAATATAGGAGACTTACTGTCTGGGTTCAAATCCACCACTTACCAAACGGTGGGACTTTTGACAAGTTACTTAATTCTCTGTGTCTCAGGTTCTTGATTTGAAAGAGATCACTTAAGCCCAGTAATTTGAGGCTGCCGTGAGCTAAGGTCATGCCACTTCACTCCAGCCTGGGTGACAGAGCAAGACACTGTCTGTAAAAAGATAAAATAAGATTAAAAAAAAGACACAAAATGATATTTTGCACCTCATGGTGTTATTATGAAGATTAAATGAATTAATTTTTTTAGCACATTCAAACATTCTGCACCAAAGTAAACCACATTTGTTTACTGAATGAATAAATTGACTTTCTTGTTTATTTATAGAAATGTATTCTATATACCAGATATTAATCCTTCATAGATTATGGATGTACATATATCTTCCAGTCTCTCACTAATTTATTACATTGGCCTATTTATCTTTACACAAATATTATCATTTTAATTATTGATGCCTTAATATATGCATTAATATATTGGGGAATGGGGCAAGTCTCACCAGTTTGCTCTATTTTTTAAAAAATAATCTTAACTATTGGTAAATAATTTCCTTTAAATTATAACTGAATTTATTAAGAAACTCCCAAAATCCTGCTGGCTTTTTGTACTGTTTGCTGTTCATTAATATCTAAACATTTGTAGAATTGACATCTTTAGTGTAAGTTGCCCCATCCATGGACATATGGTTAACTTCTAGGACTTCATGATTTGCAAACTTAATTTTAATTTAGGCTTACATTAAAATGTACTTTATCTATACAAGAGTTCCTCATTAATTTAAATTTTCACATTTTATACTTTGTACCCTTCAAATCTAAAAACAAAAAGGAAGGTTGTTGTTACGTGGGTCAATGTAATTGCAAGATTTCACTAAGATGCAATACATTTTACTTTTTCCTGTTTCTGCTTATGAGTCAAACAATATTTGTCACCACACACATTAACTTACAACCTCTTTGCAACATTTATATAGAGTTGACTGAGAATTTGAGTAATCCAAGGTTTTCTTGAGATTCTATTTTCATGTACGATAATATATTACTCATGCAATAACTTAAAGTTTTAAAGGAAAAATCCTGTTTGGCCTTTTGGGAAAATGTAGTTGTATTGAATTGCACACTATTTAATGTGGCCTTACCATGAAAGTCATTTAGTGGTCTAAAAAAGATAAAACATTTTCAAAGGTGCCTTACAAATGAGGGAGGAGCATAATCACTGATATATTTTTATCAGAGAAATCTATTAGAACGCTTAATGTGCATTGATTGGGATTTGAGAAAGGTTGATTATGAGAAATACTCAAAGAAATGGCATTTAAAATTGAGGTTTGACAGAGTGCTTAGTGATGCTTCTGTCATTTTAAGAAACATAAACATTCTTTTGAAGTTCGATGTCTCAACATGAAAAACTGGCTTACGACACTAGAAAATCTCTATGTGCAAGTTACATGACTATATAAAGTATAATCATAGGTAATTGACTGGCCCCTGTTGGTTTCTCACATAATGAAGGTATCCAAATTATTTCGAAGTTAGGGAACATGGACTTGAATGTTAACACAGTGTTATTAATGCCACTGTATCATTACTAAGCTAATGATGTGCTTTATTCTGATGATAGCTTTTCTCTAACACTTACTACATGCAAAGTGCCATACAAAGGGAAAAGAAACTGGTCATGAATACACCATGCTCCATGTGTTAAAGAGGTTTGCACAGTAGTGGGGCAGGTGTATAAACCAACAGCTATAAGAAAGTATATTGTTTGTTGATATTAATTTGATAAGAATCTATGAGATTAGAGTGGAAAGACCCAATTTAGTCAGGAAAGGAGTGAGGAGTCAGTGAATGAATTCTTTTTAGAAGTTAGAAACTAGACAATAATGGGGCAAACTTTGATTTTATTCATTTTGTTTTTAAAATTACTTTCACCTCTTAAAAATAATAATGTGCTTGTGTGTAAAAGCTAAGAAATATTTGAAAAATATAAATAATACATATAATGTAAACATTTTGCTTTGTTTACTTCTAATCACTAAGTTATATATTTACTATGTAGAAATGCAATTAGATGTAACCGTTGATTAGGCTTTCTACCATTTGCCAAACGTTGTTCTGTGCATAAAATATCAAGTTATCAGAAAATAGCCTAGAGAATTTGGAAATATTCTTATTCCTGGTAAAATATTTTACCTCTATCTAATTGTAGAAAGTCTGTTTACCATAGGAAGAACAAAGAGGCCTTTCATGTGTTTCGTTTTTAACAAGAATTTTTTTCTCATTTCTGTGCCTCATTCAACAATTGTGCAATATTGATTATAGAGCTCTTATGTAATCCTTAGGATTGCTTTATTCCATTGAAAAACCATCTTTCAGTTTGTATAGTTATTATAGCACTGCAGGAGTCTTCACGGATGCAATTATCCATGCATTGTTACAGAGCAAATGCCACAAGGGGGAAAATAATTACCTAAAACAACTGAACCAGATGGATATTTGAAAATAAAACACTTAAGATATATGTCGTTTGTGTGGTTTAGTTTCTGTGGTTAACAACTGTTCACCAGAAAATATATATATATATATATATATATATATATATATATATCTATCTATAAACCTATGCAATTTTTATAGCCTAAGATGGTGGTGTTTTCGATTCTCATTTACATTTCTTTAGTTACTTTCAAAGGAAGGAGCCAACAAATATTTTCCTGTTGCTGTAGTGGTTAAGGGGAAACATAGTTTATTATTTCCTAGGGCAATGCCAGATGACAGGACAGAGTTAATCCCCAGGAGTCTGTGGGAAAATTACCAGTTACAGACAAATAGTAAATACCACATTTGAAACACTGTGACCTCCAAGATCTAAAATTAGAGCAGAAATTGGCCATGACCTTACAAGGTACCTTACTATCTGGAACAAATGAGGAGAGAAAATAAAGCAGGCAGGTGGAGAGGACAAGAACAAGGCTTCATTCCCTCAAAGCCATTAGAAAGTTGAGCTACAAGACTCCAGAAAGGGCAAAAGCAGTATTTGGGTATTGTCAAGATTTCAAGAGCAAAGACATCTTCCACTTCTATATCTTTTCCCCAAAGCTCAGAGTCTCATCACATATTACCTCATTGATCACAAATGGAAATGAGCTGACAGTGCTTTGTACAATATTGACTTTGTGAATGCTATTTCTATTAATAGTGTCACAGTATTGTTGTGATATTGTTTAACGATTATTTGGAAAGACCAACTTCAGTTCAAAGGTTGAAGTAAATGTTTGAGATCTGGAGTCAGGTTGACACTCTTCTATTGTTTCTGTGACTTCGTAACATTGCCTAATCTCTCTGAGTATCATTTTCCTTCACTATAAAGTAGAAGTAAAAGATATTAACCTTGCTCAGAGGGAAGTGAAGGGCCACATAGAGTGTCTGGCCCATAGAAAACATGTAATAGTAATGTATAGGCATATCAGTATTATGATGATCAATAAGCCAGATGACTGCCAAATTCTACATTTTAGAAGGTGAGGATATCAGAAAGAATTTTTTGCAATATAAATTATTATTTGAGCCTTAAATATAATTCTTCTCCTCTGTTTTTGGTCTTCAAAAATAAGATAATTTTATCTTTTAAGTTATTACACCATGTGCTTAATAACATCTTTAAAATATAAACTTTCAGAATTTACTAATTTTGGGTGACTAAGGCTATTTTAGTCTCTTTGGGGCCTCCTAATATTTCTGGCTTGTTTCTGGCAACCTAGTACGTACAGTGAGAGATATCTGTAGACTCTGAGCAACTCAAATTTTACAGATCAAAAGTCTTCTTAAAAACTCTAAGTTTTCTTAGAATAGTACCTGATGCAAATTGCCTGATGAAAAATGCTTCTTTTGGATTAATGAATGAATGGATGTTGAATCATGCTTATGTATTACAGTGTATAGATAAGAAGTATGATGTTTATCCATTCCTCTAGGTATTTTAGGTTTCACTTATTGATACTTTTATCATTAAAAGTTTAAAAAAATCAGTCGTTCTTATGTAAATAAAACATTTTTGCTAAATTGTAATATAATGGTACATTGAAATCTGAATACATATCACAATGTTCATGATGTTCTCAACCATATGACTCAGTGACATCTACATAATTCACCAAATTTGATATTTCTTTCAGAATTTAGTGCTAAGAAAAACTTTATTTAACTAGAACTCATTTCTTTCCTTTACAAAAAAAGAAGAAGTATTTAATGTAACAGTTTTCCTTCTCTCAGTGGGCAGGAAACTCAGATGAAAGTTTTATACTGAATCATAGTGACATTTTAAGAATTAGGCTTTTTTCTTTTTCTCTTTGCCTTTCCTCATTTATTTTCTTCTCTTCCTTTTACAGTGTTTTCAAACTCATGGGTTTTTTTTTTTTTTTTTTCTTATAATACATTCTTGTCTACAAAAAAAGTCACTAGGTGTTCCTTAGGGGATAAAAGAATGTTAGTTTAGGCAACACTGACTAGATAAAAGCTCAAAATATTTTTTGCCTCACATTTCTCAGACTGCAATATGTTATGTATTTTTAAATTTCTAAGAGAAAGAATTATGTTGAATTAAACTTCAAGCTTATTTAACTGAAGAATCTCTTAAGAGGAACATGCAGAACAAGATTTAGGACATGATATTTGATGTTATCTGTAGAAGGTAGATAATATTTACTTTTAAAGTTACACACAAATATACACAAATACATGCATGCAAGATGCAATAAGACACACTGGAAATTTATGAAGTCTTATTTGACCTTTTATACACAGCTACTAATTTCAAGTTGATGAATATTTATACTGCTGCTATGCATCTACATATGTATGCATAAAAAGAGTTTTGTATTAAATTAGTTGTTTTAACATAATTGGTGTCATACACTATGCATATTTGGGTGATTGGTTTCTTTTGTAATTAACAATATGTTAATTATCTATCCATAGCACCACTTGTGGATCAACTTCTTTCTTTTTATTGTTACACAGTATTATATAGTGTACATGTATCCCAATATTTTTAACATACTGATTAGTGAATATATGATTATATCTAATTTTATCCTTTGTGAACAAGCTGCAGGAAATACCCTTGTCCATTGCTTGTGTTATGGATAGGTATCCAGAGAAGCTGAATGGTTCATTACTCAGTTTTTGCTGTGGTTAAAAACAATTCTCCAAAACATGTTGGAAATATTTCAAGACAATGAAAGCTCACTCTTCAAAAAAGCTGCATTAATATACATTCCAACCACCACCAGAAGAAAGTGAGACGGGAGGGTTCAGGGAAGTGCTGCGTAGAGAAAGGCAGGTCCCTGGCTAGGGGTCCACCTCCAGGTGAGTGCCCACGGACCTAGGTGAGGACAAGTATTTCTGTTTACATGCCTAAATGTTGCATTTTCCAATACCACCCAGGCCCACCATGCCCTGATCCTGTGCCTATAAAAACCCCAAGACCCTAGTGGGCAGAGACACAAGCAGCTGGACATTGAGAGGAACACACCAGAGGAAGAACACACAAGTAGCTGTACGTCGAGAAGAACACACCGGCAGAGGAACACACCAGCAGACACCAGCAGATGCCAGTAGGCCATCTATGGCAGAACAACATGGTGACAGGAATCTGGGCTGGGCCATGGAGGAGAATCCCGCCATTGAGCAGCCCAACTCGAGGAGAAAACCACCTTCCTACTCCATCCGCCTTCTGGCTCCCCATCCATCTCCTGAGAGCTTCAACGGTGGCTCTCAACGGTGGCTCACGCCTGTAATCCCAGCACTTTGGGAGGCTGAGGTGGGCAGATCACGAGGTCAGGAGATCGAGACCATCCTGGCTAACACAGTGAAACCCCGTCTCTACTAAAAATACAAAAAATTAGCCGGGCGTGATGGCGGGCGCCTGTAGTCCCAGCTACTCTGGAGGCTGAGGCAGGAGAATGGCGTGAACCCAGGAGGCGGAGCTTGCAGTGAGCCGAGATCCAGCCACTGCACTCCAGCCTGGGCAACAGAGCGAGAATCCGTCTCAAAAAAAAAAAAAAAAAAAAAAAAAAAACCTTGCACTCGTTCTCCAAGCCCGCGTGTGATCCGACTTTTCTGGTACACTAAGGCAAGAACTCCAGGATAGAGAAAGCCCTCTCTCCTTATGAGTAAGGCAGAGGGTCTAATTGAGCTGATTAACACAAGCCACTTGCAGATGGCTAAACTAAAAGAGCACCCTGTAAGACATGCCCACTGGGGCTTCAGGAGAGGTAAACACTCAAACCTAGACCCTGCCATGCGGTCTCAGCCCCACAGCCGGCCTGTCTGCATGCTCACCCTAGAGGTTTGAGCAGCAGGGCACTGAAGAAGTGGGCCACACCCCCATCACCCACCCTGTAAGGGAGACAGGAAACTTTTCCCGTTTCAACAGAAGAAAAGAGAGAAGAATCAAATAGACGCAATAAAAAATGATAAAGGGGATATCACCACTGATCCCACAGAAATACAAACTACCATCAGAGAATACTACAAACACCTCTATGCAAATAAACTAGAAAATCTAGAAGAAATGGATAAATTCCTCGACACATACACCCTCCCAAGACTAAACCAGGAAGAAGTTGAATCTCTGAATAGACCAATAACAGGCTGTGAAATTGTGGCAATAATCAATAGCTTACCAACCAAAAAGAGTCCAGGACCAGATGGATTCACAGCCGAATTCTACCAGAGGTACAAGGAGGAACTGGTACCATTCCTTCTGAAACTATTCCAATCAATAGAAAAAGAGGGAATCCTCCCTAACTCATTTTATGAGGCCAGCATCATCCTGATACCAAAGCCGGGCAGAGATACAACCAAAAAAGAGAATTTTGGACCAATATCCTTGATGAACATTGATGCAAAAATCCTCAATAAAATACTGGCAAACTGAATCCAGCAGCACATCAAAAAGCTTATCCACCATGATCAAGTGGGCTTCATCCCTGGGATGCAAGGCTGGTTCAATATATGCAAATCAATAAATGTAATCCAGCATATAAACAGAACCAAAGACAAAAACCACATGATTATCTCAATAGATGCAGAAAAGGCCTTTGACAAAATTCAACAACCCTTCATGCTAAAAACTCTCAATAAATTAGGTACTGATGGGACATATCTCAAAATAATAAGAGCCATTTATGACAAACCCACAGCCAATATCATACTGAATGTGCAAAAACTGGAAGCATTCCCTTTGAAAACTGGCAAAAGACAGGGATGCCCTCTCTCACCACTCCTATTCAACATAGTGTTGGAAGTTCTGGCCAGGGCAATCAGGCAGGAGAAGGAAATAAAGGGTATTCAACTAGGAAAAGAGGAAGTCAAATTGTCCCTGTTTGCAGATGACATGATTGTATATCTAGAAAACCCCATTGTCTCAGCCCAAAATCTCCTTAAGCTGATAAGCAACTTCAGCAAAGTCTCAGGATACAAAATCAATGTGCAAAAATCACAAGCATTCTTATACACCAAAAACGGACCAACAGAGAGCCAAATCATGAGTGAACTCCCATTCACAATTGCTTCAAAGAGAATAAAATACCTAGGAATCCAACTTACAAGGGATGTGAAGGACCTCTTCAAGGAGAACTACAAACGACTGCTCAATGAAATAAAAGAGGATACAAACAAATGGAAGAACATTCCATGCTCATGGACAGGAAAAATCAATATTGTGAAAATGGCCATACTGCCCAAGGTAATTTATAGATTCAATGCCATCCCCATCAAGCTACCAGTGACTTTCTTCACAGAATTGGAAAAAAACTACGTTAAAGTTCATATGGAACCAACAATGAGCCCGCATCGCCAAGTCAATCCTAAGCCAAAAGAACAAAGCTGGAGGCATCGCACTACCTGACTTCAAACTATACTACAAGGCTACAGTAACCAAAACAGCATGGTACTGGTACCAAAACAGAGATATAGATCAATGGAACAGAACAGAGCCCTCAGAAATAACGCCGCATATCTACAATTATCTGATCTTTGACAAACCTGAGAAAAACAAGCAATGAGGAAAGGATTCCCTATTTAATAAATGGTGCTGGGAAAACTGGCTAGCCATATGTAGAAAGCTGAAACTGGATCCCTTCCTTACACCTTATACAAAAATTAATTCAAGATGGATTAAAGACTTAAATGTTAGACCTAAAACCATAAAAACCCTAGAAGAAAACCAAGGCATTACCATTCAGGACATAGGCATGGGCAAGGACTTCAAGTCTAAAACACCAAAAGAAATGGCAACAAAAGCCAAAATTGACAAATGGGATCTAATTAAACTAAAGAGCTTCTGCACAGCAAAAGAAACTACCATCGGAGTGAACAGGCAACCTACAAAATGGGAGAAAACTTTTGCCATCTACTCATCTGACAAAGGGCTAATATCCAGAATCTACAATGAACTCCAACAAATTTACAAGAAAAAAACAAACAACCCCATCAAAAAGTGGGCAAAGGACATGAACAGACACTTCTCAAAAGAAGACATTTATGCAGCCAAAAAACACATGAAAAAATGCTCACCATCACTGGCTATCAGAGAAATGCAAATCAAAACCACCATGAGATACCATCTCACACCAGTTAGAATGGCAATCATTAAAAAGTCAGGAAACAACAGGTGCTGGAGAGGATGGTGGAGAAATAGGAACACTTTGACACTGTTGGTGGGACTGTAAACTAGTTCAACCATTGTGGAAGTCAGTGTGGCAATTCCTCAGGGATCTAGAACTAGAAATACCATTTGACCCAGCAATCCCATTACTGGGTATATACCCAAGGGACTATAAATCATGCTGCTATAAAGACACATGCACACGTATGTTTATTGCGGCACTATTCACAATAGCAAAGACTTGGAACCAACCCATATGTCCAACAATGATAGACTGGATTAAGAAAATGTGACACATAGACACCATGGAATACTATGCAGCCATAAAAAATGATGAGTTCATGTCCTTTGTAGGGACATGGATGAAATTGGAAATCATCCTTCTCAGTAAACTATCTCAAGAACAAAAAACCAAACACCACATATTCTCACTCATAGGTGGGAATTGAACAATGAGAACGCATGGACACAGGAAGGGGTACATCACACTCTGTGGACTGTTGTGGGGTGGGGGTAGGGGTGAGGGATAGCTTTAGGAGATATACCTAATGGTAAATGACGAGTTAATGGGTGCAACACACCAGCATGGCATATGTATACATATGTAACTAACCTGCACATTGTGCACATGTACCCTAAAACTTAAAGTATAATAATAATAAAATAAAATTAAAAAAATAAAATTCAAAAAAAAAAACGGTAATTTCCTCACACTGTCTTAAGTTCCACATATCATCCACTCCTCTTAACTTTTGCCATTCTGATAGATAAAAAATTATACGTTGTTTATTTAAGGTTTATTATTACTTCATTTTGGAGAGAAGTAAGTTTCAAAGATTTGAGTTAGTCAAGCTTCTTGGTCCATTGTACATTGGTCTGTGTAATTCTTTCTTCTTTCATTTGACTTCACTATTAGTTTTTCCATTATCCCCCTTCATCACTCCCATTTTGCTTCCACCTACAGTCTCTCCCCTCCAAAATAAATGTATTTTAATCTGTCTTTGAATTTGTAACTATCTATGAAAAAAAATCATTATTGTTGCTTTAATATGCTGATTCTTTATAAAAATACATTATTACAGAAGATATCTATACTTTATAAGCAATATATTTTAAGATCTATCATTGTTATTTTATATACACCTAGCTGACTGCTACCAATGGATGCATAGTATGCAAGGTTAAGCCACCACCACATTTTATTTGCCATTAACCGCCAGGGCTGCCTCAAGTACTGTGCTTTCACAAACACATTGTGATGAATAGCATTGTACATATCCCCTTGAGGACTTACATGTGAGCTCCTTGGAGATATATCCACAGGCGCAGAATTGCTGTGCCACACTATATACACATAATTATTTTTGCTATTCACTATCAAATTTCTCTCCAGAAGCCATGATAGTTCACAATGCAGTAACAATTCTCAATACTCATTCTCCCACATCCTTGTTAAGACTTTTTAATCTGACGTTTGAAATTTTTGCCTTATGATAGATGGAAGACATAGTTCATTTGTTTTAACCTAATTTTCTGTGATTACTAGTGAATATGCACATCTATTCATTTATTCATTTGCCATGTGGATTTCCTTTATAGAACCATTTAAAGTCTTTATAATCTTTTTAATTGAGTTTGCAGCCCTTTACTTGAAGCTAAGGAGCACTTTCTTATGTAGCCTAGGTAATATTCTTTAGAAGTCTTATATGTTATGAGTGTGTCTTTAATCTGTCACTTGTTAGGTTTTTTGTTGTTGTCCTTTGGAAACTAAAATATCCCAAGTTTAATTTTGTTGAAGTCTACATTTTAAAGTTAAATGTTCTATATTTAGATATTTGTATAAGTACCATTCCCTCACTTCCTTGAAGAAGTCACATAAATGTTCTTTTGCATATTTTTTATTATTATTATTCAATATAGAGCCTTTCTCACTTGTATTTTTAATAATGTTTATTTGGATAAGACGTAGGAAGTCAAGCTTATTTTGTTTCTTATAGTAAACTGGTTTTCCTCATATTATGGACTGAGTGATTCATTTTTATTTATAGGTTTATGGTATACCTCTATCATACAACAACTTGTCATACATACATGGATCTATTTCTGAGTTCACTTTTCTCTTCCACAGTTTATTTTTTGTTCCTTACCTATACTCCAGTTTTAACTAAATTCTATCTTTTTAATGTGTTTGCTATCAGTATGCTTCATCGGCTGACAAATTTTGGGAAAACAATCATAGAATTTTTTTAATGGGATACTAAAACTTAGAAACAAAGGTGGGTTTGATATAAGGCCAGTATTACTCACAAACATTGATTTCACAATCCTAAACATTTAACAATGTATAAAAAAGCAATACTTCATGATCAAGTTGTATTTGTTTTAAAATACAAAGTTGATTTCATACAAAATATGTAATTCACTAAAGTAATAGTATATGTAGAAACATAAAGGATAATCACAATTATGGAAAATGACATACATTTTTTCCCCCTTTCTACTGATTACTCTGCCTTAATTTACTTTGTTGTTTCAGTGTTATCTCCCCAACTTCATAACATTGAAATATCCTATGGTTTATTCCCTGGAAAACTTTTAAAACTATGGTCAATGTTTTAATGATAGCATTGAGTATCATAGTTTTAAAGTAATTTGGAAGTCCAAGATTTCCAAATGTATGCTCCAGCCTAGATCACTGCCTTGCACTCTACATTTATCTATCCAACTGCTGACATAACGTCTTCACTGGGATATAAAATAGAGTTTTCAAATTTAACTTAAAGCAAATCTCCAATATGCAACCCTCCAAAACCTGTACTTTCTACAGTTTTTCTAACCTCTGTAATTATCAACTTCCCCAAAGGTGTTATTTTGGGGGATAGATGTCTGAAATTGCAACGCTAGGTCATGTGGTCATTGCCTGTTTAGTTTAATAACAAATTAACCAACTGCTTTTCAGAGTGGCTTTACCAGTTTACATTCTCACTAGCAATATGTGATTAATCTAGTTTCTACAGATTCTTACCAGTATTTGGTACTGTCACTATATTTTTTTATTTTCATCATTCTGATAAGTTTGTAGTAATATCTTATGGCCTTTCTTTGCATTTCTGTGATGGCTAATGAGGATGAAGATGTTTTCGTGTGCTATTTGCCATCTTAAATCATCTTCAGTAATATATCTGTTCATGTCTTCTGCTCATTTTTAATTGAATTGATTGGATTTTTATTGTTGAGTTTTGAGAAGTCTTTATCTTTTCTAAATACTAGTCCTTTGTTAGATATATGGCTTGGAAATATCTTCTTCGAGTTTGTAGTCTGCTTTTGTTTCATTTTCGTATGGACGTTCACAGAGCAAGAGTTTCCCAATTTATCAGTTTTTCCTGTTTATGAAGTCATGCTTGTAGAGTCACATCTAGGAACTCTTTGTCAGCTCTAAATCCTGAAGATCATTTCCTAAATTTTTGTAAAAGTTCTCCTGAGACCTTGCATGATTGAAAATTTTACATTCTTTACCTTCACACTTAAATGAAGAATATAAATAGTAAGGTGTGAAGGTTTTCTTCTCATCATAATTTTAAAAATATGACTGCATTATCTTCTTGTATGAAGGTTTAACACTGAGAAGTACAATGGATCTGCTCCTGTTGTTAATTTTCCTAAACGTATTAAGTTGCCATTGGAGAATGCAGCCTGTAAAATTATGGGCACTTTCTCATTTGTTGATTTTTCTTTTGGCCCAAAGTTACTGTACAAGATTTCAGTGTCATGTGTTTTTGAAAACAATTGTTTCCTAGCTATGAGCTACAGAACTCATGTGTATCAATTATGATATTTAAATCTGTTATATTTTTTCTGTTTTTATTTTGGACTTCTTTTGGAAAAGGCTATCAGCTCTTTGTGATTACAAAATTTCCAATTATTCTTTGAAGTTCTATCAGCATTTTTATTTTTCTGCATATAATTGATATTTCCTAGGGTACACCCACATAGATTTAGGGATTTAGGGATAATAGATATGTTTGTGTACTTTTATCCTTGCTAAAATGAGATAAAACTTTTTGCTTTTTTTTTTTTTTTTTTTTTTTTTTTTTTTTTTTTTTTTGAGATGGAGTCTTGCTCGGTTGCCCAGGGTGGAGTGAAGTGGTGCAATCTCGGCTCACTGCAACCTCCGCCTCCTGGGTTCAAGCGATTCTCCCGCCTCAGCCTCCCAAGTAGCTGGGACTACAGGCACCCACCACCACGCCCAGGTGATTTTTTGTATTTTTTTTAGTAGAGACGGGGTTTCACTGTGTTAGCCAGGATGGTCTCGATCTCCTGACCTCCTGATCCACCTGCCTCAGCCTCCCAAAGTGTTGGGATTACAGGCGTGAGCCACCACGCCCGGCCTTGTCCTATTAATATAATAATAAAATTGCTATACCTATCTACTTTTTGCTAGAACTCCCCATCCCCACTATTTTAACTCTTGATTTTAAGCACATTGTTTTAGCATTTTTTTTTATGTACAGCTATCAATACATAGCTAGGTTTTATCCCTCCATCAAAAAGTATACAGAAATATATTTTCTAAAATAATTTCAACATTTATCTTAGATTCGTGGGGTACATGTTCAGGTTTGTTATGTGGGTATATTTTGTGACTTTAAGGTTTGAGGTATCAAGTTCCAGTCACCAAGGTAATGAGTATAAAACCCAATAGGTAGCTTTTCGGCCCTTGCACTCCTCCTTTTCTCCCCTCTAGTAGTCCACAGTGTCTATTGTTCCCATCTTTATATTCATGCATAGCCAATGCTTAGGACCCACTTATAAATGAAAGCATGCAGTATTTGGTTTACTGTTCTTGCATTAATTCACTTAGGGTAAAGACTTCCAGCTGCATCCATGTTGCTACAAAAGACGTGATTTCATTCTTTGTATGGCAAAATAGTATTTTATGGTGTATATTTACCACATTTTCTTTACCCCATCCATGTTGATGGGGGCATCAAGTTTGATTCCCTGTCTTTGCTATTGTGAAGATTGCCGTGATGAACATAAAAGTGCATGCGTCTTTTTGGTAGAATGATTTATTTTCCTCTGGTTATATACCCAGTCAATGAGATTGTTGGGTCAGATGATAGTTTTGTTATAAGTTATTTGAGAAACTTCCAAGCCACTTTCAGCCAAGCTGAACTAATTTACATTCCCACTAACAATGTAAGGATTCCTTTTGTTCTGTAGCCTCACTAGCATCTGTTGATTTTTGACTTTTTAATTCTGACTACCATGAAATGGTATTTCACCATGGTTTTGATTTACATTTGTCTGTAAATAAGTGACATTAAGCATTTTTTTCATATGTTTAGTGGCCATTTGTATGTCTTCTTTTGAGAAATGCCTGTTCATGTCTTTTGCTTATTTTGTAATGGGGTTTTTTTTTATTTGCTTGTTGAATTGTTTAAGTTCGTTACAGATTTTGGATATTAGATCTTTGTCAGATACATAGTTTGCAAATATATTCTCCCATTCTGTAGATTGTCTGTTTACTCTGTAGATTTTCCTTTTGCTGTACAGAAGCTCTTCAGGTTAATTTGATCCCACTTGTCAGTTTGTGTTTTTATTGCAATTGCTTTTGAGGACTTTCTAATAAATTCTTTCCCAAGGCCAACATACAGAATGCTGTTGCCTAGATTTTCTCCTAGGATTCTGATAATTTGAGGTCTTACATTTAAATCTTTAATTTGTATTGAGTTAATTTTTATATAAGGTGGAAAGTAGGGGTCCAGTATCACTCTTCTGCATATGATGACCCAGCTATCCTGGCACCTTTTATTGAATAGGCAGTCTTTACCACTGCTTATTTTTGTCTTCTTTGTTGAAGATCAGATGGCAGTAGGTGTGCAGTTTTATTTCCAGTTTCTCTTTTCTGTTCCATTGCTCTATGTGTCTCTTTCTGCTTTTGTACCCGTACCGTGCTGTTTTGGTTACTGCAGCCTTACAGTATAGTTTGAAGTCACGTAATGCGATACTTCGAGCTTTGTATTTTTTGCTTAGAACTGCTTTGGCTGTTTGGGCTCTTTTTTGGTCGCATATGTATTTTAAGATAGTAATTTTTAATTGTATGAAAAATGACAACAGTAGTTTAGTAGCAATAACATCAAATCTATAGAATGCTTTGGGCAGTTTAGACATTTTAAAGACACTGATTTTTCCAATGGATGAGCATGGAATGTTCTTCCATTTGTTTGTGTCATCTGATTACCTTCAGTAGTGTTTTACAGTTCTTGTTGTAGAGATCCTTCACTTTCTTGGTTGGATGTATTCCTAGTTATTTGTATGTGGGTGTGGCTAATATAAATGGGATTGCATTTTTTATTTGGCTCTCAAAAACTGAATGTTATTGAGGTGTAGAAATGATACTGATTTGTGTACATTGACTTTGTACCCTGAAACTTTACTAAAGTCATTAATCAATTCTAGGACTCTTTCAGCAGAGTCTTTGGGGTTTTCTACATATAGTATCATATCATCTACAAAGAGATAATTTGACTTTTACTTTTTCTGCTCAGATGGCTTTTATTTCTTTCTCTTGCCTGATTTCTCTGGCCAGGACTACCAGTACTATGACGAATAGGAGTAGTGAGAGTGGACATACTTGTCTTGTTCCTGTTTTTAAGGGGAATGCTTCCAGCTATTGCCCATTTGGTATGATGTTGGCTGTGGGTTTGTCTTATTATTTTGAAGTGTATTCCTTTAATGCCTAGTTTGATGACGGTTTTTATCATGAAGGGATATTGGATTTTATTAAAAGCTTTTTCTGCATCTATTGAGATGATCACATTGTTTGACTTTTTATTTCTGTTTATGTGGTGAATTAACATTTATTAATTTGCTTATGTTGAACCAACCTTGCATTGTAGGAATGAAGCCTGCTTGATCATGGTGAATTAACTTTTTGATGAGCTGTTGAATTCGATTTGCTAGTATTTTGTTGAGGAATTTTGTATCTATGTTGATCAGGGATGTTGTCCTATAGTTTTCTTTTTTCATTGTGTCCTTATTAGGTTTTAGTATCCAGGTGAGTCTGGCTTTGTAAAAAGAGCTGGAGAGGAATTTCTCCTCCTCAATATTTTAGAAGAGTTTCAGTGGAATTGGTACCAGTTCTTTGTATATATGGTAGAATTCTCCTATGAATCCACTTAGTTTTGGACTTTTTTTGGTTGGTAGTTTTTTGGTTTTGTTTTGTTTTTTAATTGCTGATTTAATTTTAGAACTCTTTATTAGTTTATTCAGGGCTTCGAATTTTTTCCTGTTTCAATATTGGTAGGCTGTATGTTTCCAGGATTTTATTCATTTCCTCTAGATTTTTTAGTTTGTGTGCATAGAGGTGTTCATAAAACTCTTTGAGGGTCTTTTGTATTTCTGTGAGGTTGGTTGTAACAACAGCTTTGTTGTTTCTGATTGTGCTTATTTGTATCTTCTCTCTTTTTTTCTTTGTTAATCTAGCTAGTTGTCTATCAATCCTGTTTATCCTTTCGAATAACTGGGTTTTGGTTTATTGATTCTTTTTATGAATTTTGGGGTCTCAATTTATTCATTTCTACCTTAATTTTAGCTATTTATTTTCTTCTGCTAGCTTTGAAGTTAGTCTTTTCTTGTTTTAATATTTCCTCTAGGTATAATGTTAGATAACATCACACACCGGGGCCTGTCATGGGGTTGGGGGAGGGGGGAGGGATAGTATCAGGAGATATACCTAGTGTAAATGACAAGTTAATGGGTGCAGCACACCAACATGGCACATGTATACATATGTAACAAACCTGCAAGTTGTGCACATGTACCCTAGAACTTAAAGTATAATAAAAAATAAAATAAAATAAAAAATAAATTGAGATCTTTCTAATTTTTTGATGTAGGTACATATCACTGTAAACATTCCTCTTAACACTGCTCTAGTTGCATCCCAGAGATTTTGGAATGTTTGGAATCTGTTTTCATTTATTAAACAGTACTTTTAAAATACAGAAATCTATTACATCTACATCAGTTGTGACTTTTTATGTTTGCGTTTGTTTCTTCTTTGTTTCATGAATGCACTATCTTCTTTTATCTCTTTAGTACAGGCATTATATTTTTTTCAAATTTTTTTTGTGTTATAGTAGGTGATACCTCAGACACATAATATTCTGATTCTTGTCTTTTTATGCCTCTCATTTATCATGTTGATTTTCTTCAAATGTTTGAAATAATATTTGTGTTTACCATACATTCTCCCATAATTTGGGAGATCAGGATCAGGGTGAACCTGATAGAAGTTTGCCATCATTGTTTTCTAGACATTGGGGAAGTTCATTCCCTCATATGTTACCACCATCAAGGACTGAAGGGTCCTCCCCCTTTCCCTCCATCCCATCTTCCACTGAAAGCCGCAGCCTGAAAACAACACCTAGTGCTGTGCACAAATGGATTTAAGAAGGAGAAATAAGGGGAAAAAGGCCTCCAAGACTGACAGCTCTAAATTTAGTTTCTGAAACAATGATCTGTATCTTTGTCTCTGACTACTAAGCACTCACAAAATCACTTTCACTTTTTTATAAAAATTTTCTTTAATGTGTATTTTAGATTATCTTCTCCTACTTCATAATCACACTGTTTTCTGTTTTTAAAACACTTCTTAAAGTTTCTGGTTATTGATCCTCTAATTTTGTAATATTTTAAGCATTTTAAAATGTATTTTTATTATAAAACAAGCAAAATAATACTTTCAGAAGATGAAAGAGGTAGGCACCTATCATTATTTATTCTAATCCTATATGCTGATTTGTATAAAAATTGATTATTTACATGTAATAATTCGATGGTCTTAACTTAGAGAGCTGGAAGACGTCAATGAAAGATTTCAAAGAGATTGTATGTGTATCTGTCTGTCTGTGCACCACAAGAACTGACTGTGCTTAGTTCTCATTCTTCCAATGTATGGATTAGAAGGTCTATTTAATTACATTTTGGGGCTGTAAATCTGTCATTACAAATAATGAGCATTCTATGGATCTTTCTGAGACTCTATGTGTCTGTAGAGAAATATACATTTTTGTTTACATTGAGAATCATCACATATTAGCTCTAGAAGGAAATGTGAGTAATTGTATAGTCAAATCTTTAATTTTCTACTGAGGACAATGAGTTTCAGTTATAACATGAAGTTTATTTATGGTTCAAGGGATAAGGTGGAACCAAGATTTCTTATCCTTCAGGTAGTTTATTTTTCTTTTATACCAGGTGTATATCCAGTGGTTTGCACTTTTTCTTTTCATAAATTAAAACAACAACAACAAAAAAAACTAACAGGCTAGTTGATCCCATGTCTTAAAATGAAAAAAAAAATGCCAAAGACTCGTAATTCAATTGATATATAATCCATGAATTCATAAGTGCTTCTGCTTATTTCTTAAGTGATAATTTCTAGATTAGGCTTTCTTTTTTTTCTCTTTGTTCCTTTTTTGTCTATAAAATAGATTATCTTTTATAATATATAAATATATATAGTTATATATATATTTATATATTTAAATATATATATTTATATATAAATATATATAGTTATATATATATTTATATATTTAAATATATATATAAATATATATAGTTATATATAAATATATATAGTTATATATATAAATATATATTTATAATTTATAAATAATAAATAAATATTTATATATATATAATATAATATAATAGATTATATCTTTTATAATCTATTTTATAGACAAAAAATCTATTTTATTTGCTTTGCATTTATTTATTTATCAAATATATATACAACTCTTGTTATAAGCAAAGTGTTTGTTAGGAATTTATGGATGAATTGTGTGGAGAGGGAGGAATATGACCTAGTCATTTCCCAGCTGTACTAATATTTTTATTTTTATCTGGGTTTACATACTCCATATAAAAACCATATACAAATATAAGATACAGTTTATAATTTTATAATGTAAGTAGTAAAATCTTTCTTTTTTCCTGAAGGGGCTTCTCTCTGTTTTATTCTTGATCGTGTCATAGTCAGTGAAGGAACTATAAGTTTGTTTGTTTTTTCAGCCAGTATATGAGCTCTATTTCAGATTAGAATAAATTGCTTAAAATTTCAATTTTAAATCAATTTGAAGAATATTACCTTTTGCTCTGTTTTTGATGTTTTTAATTAAAGAAGATGAAAATATGCACAAATTTGTTTGATAGAGATTATAAATTTTTTTCAAAAAAATAAAGATAACTATTCAATGCTTAGAGTATTTGAAATATGGAGATAAGAAAGTTGGCTAAATTTCTTTTTCTGGAAAAAAAAATGGCAAATCAGATAAAAGAAAGCAAGAAGAGTATTAATATTACCACTACAGTAAAAATCATTCTGAACCAAAGCAAATGTATTTTTTTGGTTCCATTAATATTTAAGGTTCCAGTTTTTTTCTACTGTCCTATGAGACTTCAAAGACACTAATACTTTAAAAACAATTCTTAAATTATAACAAAAATGTGTATATAAAAATATTGCCTGAGAACTCTTTCATTTATTTTGCTTCAGTTCCTTCCCTTTCTTTGCCTATGTGTCTTTTTTTATTCAACAATGTGGATCTTTATTTAAGGTGCTGGTGACATTAGAACAATAAAATGAAGTCTTGGGAACTATATGCATGGAAATTATTCCTAATGAAACCCTGGAATAGAATAGAACACATAGATCGAAATGGATGAAATGTACTCAGAGCAGAGCAGCAGTTCTGCCTATCCTTAGAGAACATAGCATTATTATACTATTATCTGAAAAGGGTTTAATTATATTCACATTATATCCATCTGCCTTAAAACCCTTATCATACCAGAACATGCTGAGAAATCTACTTTCCAAACACTTAACCTGCAAAATCCCTTGTGTAAATCTGCAAGTTTCAATGGCTTTATGGAATCCAAAAATGTCTCTAGAGGCTTTCCTTTGATTTTTCTCTATCCTGCCTACATTGAGTAAACAGAAAGCCCATTGACTCTCAGTTATCTGGAAACCCATTTTCCACTTTATGATTTTTTTTTTTTTTTTTTTTGCAGAAAGGCTTTTTAATTCCTTATGTTCCTATGTGTGCATCTGGGATATTGGTCTCACTTAGATATGTTAACATTGGTACTACTATCTAAACATTGTTTTTGAAGGGCAACCAGCTGCATTTCAAATCATGATAACAAGTCAAAAACACAAAACATCCTAAAATAAAATAGCATTTTAAGAGTGTATTATTAATAACAGTAGAATTTATTTAACTAAAGTAAAATGGTACAAAACTTTTTTTAAAAAAGAGGGTGAACTCTGCTGCTATTTGTATAACATGCACGACTAGTTTTTTCAACTTCAAGAATGCATTAGGAACAGAATGGAAAGTGCACTTCACATTAAAAAGTCCCTTAAAAAATGTCCAAACATACTAATTAATAAACCTGAATTCTTTAAAAAAAAAAAAAAAGCTTTCTCCCAGTATCAGGAAATCTTTTCTTCTATATAACATGCTTTTTCATATATAAAATCTATTTTGAGATTTAAAAAAATACTTTAAACACTTCAAAATATTTATTTAGACATAAATGTGTATAAGTCTGTAGCAAGACTCACTTTTCCAAATAGAGAAATATGTGCAATCAATTCTGTTTTCAATACTCAACAGTTTTTTTTAATTTCATCTTCTCTTTGTCTTTTAATTTAGTTTATACACTATATAACACTTGGCTTTAAAAAGTAGGCTATCAAGTTTCAAGTGGTAAGAAGTGTTAAAAGAATCAGCCTATGCTTATTT
The DNA here is from genome assembly GCF_000001405.40 of Homo sapiens. NCBI lineage: Eukaryota > Metazoa > Chordata > Mammalia > Primates > Hominidae > Homo > Homo sapiens. The sequence goes on along the minus strand of NC_000003.12, from coordinate 88,643,488 downwards.
TTGTCTAGGTTTTATTCTATATCCTTATGGTTTCCTGTTTCTTGTCATGTCACATGAGGTGGTTAAAATTTTATTTTTATGTTAAAATAGTTTGCTAGATATCTTTTGTTTGTTCCTTCAAATCCATTCCCCATTATTCCCCATTCTGTTCTTTGTCCCGGTAGGCTGACTTTGTTGAAATACATCAATAGTCTCCCTTAAACTCTGCTGGTTTCCCATTGATTTAAACCAAGGGGAGATTCTGCAGGTGATCAGAGGGTGAGAGGATGAGATCATGGAGTTTATTCCTGCAGTTCCATCTCTGTGGGATCACCTTGTACTGTTTCAGTCCTTCAACTGATGGTCAATGCTTCCCTCAAGGAAGCCTCCTCTATACTGTCCTCTCATTCTAGGTTTCTGTAGCTGGCACTTCCCCATACAAATTCTTCCCTGGCTTCGAAGTGGTAACAGATATGCTGATAATAGCCTTCTGGGTATGGCATTATCCTTTGTGATTTCTCTGCACCCTCCCCATATTGTTGTAAATACCCTCTTTCTAACACCACCTTAAAAATAGGATACCATTTTGTGACATCTATTTTCTGGCTTTATACAACTTGGTTGTATAAAGTTGGCTTTATACAACTTGGTTTTTATTAACATCTTGGCTTTCTTGATTATCGATTCTCTACCCCACTTCAGATACAGTTCTTCCTATTAAAGGAAACTTGTGTGTGTGCCTCCCAGTAGGCATAACTTTTATCCTTTCCACCAATTTTCTATTTTTCTATATAAAAAATTGTATACATCAGTAAAATAAATTGAACTTCAAGTATTGTTTTGAAATGTATAAAGAAAAGGGCCATGAATAAAACCTTCATCAAGTGAGCAATTTGCAGTTGAACAGCAATTCCAATTACCGGTACCCAAGTTCCCAGGCTTCTTTGTGGTGGTATTTGTAGCTGATTAAATTTCTCCTAATTTTATGTATGGGTACACAACATGAAAATTAAAACAAAATATATTACCACTTTCAGAAATGAAAATGTATTCCTGAAACAGCATTTTGAATGTGGCCTTCTGCTCCAAACAAGTGAAATCACAGTTAGCATTTTGTGTTTTGAATGAATGAATTCTTACTGGGTTTATACAAAACAGTAAGTGGAAAATTAATTATTATATAGATGGATAATCCCGTTTAACTATTTATAAAATAGCAGAGTAAAATTTCTGAATTTTATAACATAACCCACCTCTCTTACTTTTCTTCATTTGGAAAAAAAAAAATTTTAAGAGGTTTTTTCTGTAGTAAGAATGTTAAACATGTTGAAAATGCTTCTGAAACAAAACAAATCAAAAAACCATTTTAGGAATAAACTATGTAATAATCTAGTCAAATGCAAATAAAGAAAATGTAAATAATTCCTATATTTTCCATCAAAGCTATAGGCCTTGCCCAGGTCTGTCAGATCAGCCTTGTGGGTGGTTAGATAGCTACACATTTCAAACATTATCTTGCCACACAACTAAACCCAGATCACTGAGAAGGGAAGAGGGATAATTCTAAATAAAAAAAAATGGTCTAACATGTGAAGAAAACATTTCATTCTTTAGAATTTGCTAAATCATTATAAAAAGCATTCAATAATAATTATAGCTAGGATTTGTTGAGCACTTCGTATATTGCTTTATTTAAACTTCTCAACAACCTCTAAAAGGGACATATTTTTATTATCCCACTTTATTGATCAAGATCTATTCAGAACACAAAAACATATTAGTAATTTAAAGGCAGAAAACTAGATAGGAAGAATTATTAATTAGAAAAACATAGTTAATTACTACAAGAGGTAAGAGAAAGTTCTAAAAAGAACTTTTGCTACACAAGTAGCAAAGTCGTCAAGTAGCTATGATCCATAGGGCTTTGAAAGAGCACACATGGAAAGGGCTACCTGAAGGATAAGATTCAGACCTCTTTGAAGAGGATGTGGCTGCAGACCCTTGGATAGCAGAGAAGTTCCCTGCAGTGCCTGGCATCAAAGCTGGCCAGCAGCAGGCAGGACAGGGCTAGTAATCAGAAAGCTGAGCTAAATTTGTCTGGGGAGTAGGGCCACTAAAGCTACACCCTGTGGTGCTGGCAAACTCATAGGAGGGGGAATGTCACTGGGTCTCCCGCATAAGATAATCAGCTGTGACATAGAGGTAAGAAGAAAAGTACACCAGAACCAGGAGCAAAAGCCTTCCTTCTGCTTATGTCTTCTGGTGTCCCTTCACTGCCTTCTCCTGGCGAAGTCCAACATTGTTCCAATGGCAAAAGAAAAATGTTCACAGGGTCCAGATCCAGAATCAGGAAGCTGAGCATGAGGGGTGGATTTAGAATTAAGAGTAAATAAACTGATAACTGTACCACCCTCTTTAAGGATGAGAAAACTGAAACTTATTGAACCTCCATAACTAGTACATGCAAAGGCAAGAGTCAAACCCATTCCGAATTAAACTCTCTTCTTAATCCCTACTCACTGTATTGCTTTAGTAACAAGCTACCCAGCCACAGGAATTCTACTCTATAATAAAATTGTAAATATTTCCAGTTTCTATAACGTTGTAACAATTGTTCAATTCTAATTGCAACTATATTTCCTAAGTTGTACATGATTTCAACCATGAAGTAGGTGGCACTGGAATTCAAATGTACAAGCATATGAAAGCAAAAGTAACCACAGACAACAAAGGAAGTACCTATTAAAGGAAAGCTTTTGGCTGTGTTAGGATCATTAGAAAGTGTCACTCTTCATCTCCAGGCACTGGAGTGAATCACTTGAATAGGGCCTGAAGTGAACCCCCTGCAAACTCCAGCAGCCCTACAAAAGAGGGACCTCACTATTGAAATAAAAACAAACAAGCAGAAAGTGACAACAAAGCATCAACAACAACAACAACAAAAAGGCCTCCACAAAAACCCCATCCCAGGGTGAGAGGCACAAAGACTGAAACTAGACAAACTCACGAAGATGAGAAAGAATCAACAAAAAGAATGCTGAAAACCCAAAAGACCAGAGTGTCTCTTCTCCTCCAAATGATCACAACATCTCTCCATCAAGGACGTAGAACTGGACGGAGGATCAGATGGATGAATTGACAAAAATAAGCTTCAGAAGCTGGGTAATTAAAAACTATAATGAGCTAAAGAAGTATGTTCTAGCCCAATGCAAAGAAGCTAAGAATGTTGATTAAAGGTTCAAGGAATGGCTATCTAGAATAACCAGTTTAGAAAGGAACATAAATGACCTGATGGAGCTGAAAAACACAGCACAAGAACTTTGTGAAGCATACACAAGTATTAACAGCTGAATCGACCACGTGGAAGACTACCTTACTGAAATAAGACATGCAGAAAAGAATAGAGAAAAAATAATAACAAGGAATGAACAAAACCTCCAAGAAGTATGGGGCTTCATAAGAAGCCCAAACCTACAATTGATTGGAGTACCAGAAGGAGACAGGGAGAATGAAAACAAGCTGGAATACACACTTCAGGATATGATGCAGGAGAACTTCCCCAATGAGCAAGACAGGCCAACATTCAAATTCAGGAAATACAGAGAACCATTAAGACACTCCATGAGAAGATCAACCCTGAGACACATAATCATCAGATTCTCCAAGGTCGAAATAAAGGAAAAACTGTTAAGGGCAGCCAGAGAGAAAGATCAGGTCACCTTCAAAGAGAAGCTCAGCAGAATAACAGTAAACCTCTCAGCAGAAATTCTACAAGCCAGAATAGACTGGGGGCCAATATTCAACATTCTTTGAAAAAAGAATTTTCAACACAGAATTACATATCCAGCCAAACTAAGCTTCATAAGCAAAGGAGAAATAAAACCCTTTCCAGACAAGCAAATGCTGAGGGATTTCATTACCACCAGGCCTGTCCTGCAAGAGATCCTGAAAGAAGCAGTAAATATGGAGCGGAAATACTGGTACAGGCCACTGCAAAAACACACCTAAATGTAAAGTCCAATGACACTATAAAGAAACTGCATCAACTATTGTGCAAAATAACCAGCTAGCATAATGATGATAGGATCAAATAACCAGCTAGCATCATGATGACAGGATAAAATTCACACATAACAATACTAACCTTAAATGTAAATGTGCTAAATGCCCCACCTAAAAGACACAAACTGGCAAATTGGATAAGGAGTCAAGACCCATCGGTGTGCTGTATTCAGGAGATCCATCTTACATGCAAAGACACACAAAGGCTCAAAGTAAAGGTATGGAGGAAAATTTACCAAGCAAATGGAAAGCAAAGAAAAGCAGGGGTTGCAATCCTAGTCTCTGACAAAACAGACTTTAAACCAACAGAGATCAAAAAAGACAAAGAAAGGCATTACATAATGGCAAATGGAACAATTCAACAAGAAGAGCTAACTATTCTAAATATATATGCACGCAATACAGGAGGACCCAGATTTATAAAACAAGTTCTTAGAGACCTACAAAGAGACTTAGACTCCCACATTATAATAATGGGAGACTTTAACAACCCACTGTCAGTATTAGACAGATCAATGAGACAGAAACTTAACAAGGATATTCAGAACTTGAACTCAGCTCTGGATCAAGTGGGCCTATTAGACATCTACAGAACTTTATACTTCAAAGCAACAGAATATACATCTTCTCAGTGCCACATGGCACTTATTCTAAAATTGACCACAAAATCAGAAGTAAAACACTCCTCAGCAAATGCAAAAGAACTGCAATAATAACAAACAGTCTCTCAGACCACAGTGCGATCAAATTAGAACTCAGGATTATGAAACTCATTAAAAACCATACAATTTAATGGAAATTGAACAACCTGCTCCTGAATGACTCCTGGGTATATAATGAAATTAAGGCAGAAATCAAGAATTTCTTTCAAACCAATGAGAACAAAGAGAAAATGTACCAGAATCTCTGGGACACAGCTAAAGCGGTGTTAAGAGGGAATTTATAGCACTAAATGCCCACATCAGAAAGCTAGAAAGATCTCAAATCAACTTCCTAACATTACAATTAAAAGACCTAGAGAGACAAGAGCAAAGTAATCAAAAGCTAGCAGAAGATAAGCAATAACTAAGATTAGAGAAGAACTGAAGGAGATACAGACACGAAAAACCCTCCAAAAAATCAACAAATACAGGAGCAGGTTTTTTGAAAAAATTAACGAAATCGATAGACCACTAGCCAGACTAATAAAGAAGAGAAAGAAGAATTAAATAGACAATAAAAAATGATAAAGAAGATATCAGCACTGACCCCATAGAAATACAAACTACCATCAGAGAATACTATAAACAACTCTATGCAAACAAACTACAAAATCTAGAAGATATGGAGGAATCCCTGGATGCATACATTCTACAAAGACTAAACCAGGAAGAAGTTGAATCCCTGAATAGACCAATAACAAGCTCTGAAACTGAGGCAGTAATTAATAGCCTATCAACCAAAAAAAAAGCCCAGGACCAGACAGATTCATAGCTGAATGCTGCCAGAAATACAAGGAGGAGCTGGTACCATTCCTTCTGAAACTATTCCAAACATTTGAAAAGGAGGGACTCCTCCCTAACTCATTTTATGAAGCCAGAATCATCCTGATACAAAAACTGGGAAGAGACATGACAAAAAAAAGAAAACTTCAGGTCATTATCCCTGATGAACATTGATGCAAAAATCGTCAATAAAATATTGCCAAACCAAATCCAACAGCACATCAAAAAACTTATACATCACAATCAAGATGGCTTCATTGCTGGTATGCAAGGCTGGTTCAACATATGCAAATCAATAAACATAATCCATCACATAAACAGAATCAAAGACAGAAACCACATGATTATCTCAATAGATGCAGAAAAGGCCTTTGATAAAATTCAACATCCTTTCGTGTTAAAAACTCTCAATAATCTAGGTATTGATGGGACATATATCAAAATAATAAGAGAGATTTATGACAAACCCCAACCAATATCATATTGAATGAAGATAAGCTGGAAGCATTCTCTTTGAAAACCAGTACAAGACAAGGATGACCTTTCTTACCACTCGTATTCAACAGAGTTTTGGAAGTTCTGTCCAGGGCAACCAGGCAAGAGAAAGAAATAAAGCGTGTTAAAACAGGTAGAGAGTATCTCAAGTTGTGTCTCTTTGCAGACAACATGATTTTATATTTATAAAACCCCACCATCTCAGCCCTAAAACTTCTTGAACCGATAAGGAACTTCAGCAGTATCAGGGTACAAAATCAATATGCAAAAAATCACAAGCATTCCTTTACACCAACAATAGGCAAGCAGAGAACCAAACCATGAATAAACTCCCATTCACAATTGCTACAAGAGAATAAAATACCTAGGAATAGAGCTAACAAGGGAAGGGAAGAACCTCTTCCTGGAGCACTACAAACCACTGCTCAAGGAAATCAGAGAGGACACAAACAAATGGAAAAACATTTCATCCTCACGGATAGGAAGAATCAATATTGTAAAAATGGCCATACTGCCCAGTGTAATTTATAGATTCAATGCTATTCCCATCAAACTACCATTGAGGTTCTTCAGAGAATTAGAAAAAACAATTTTAAATTTCATGTGGAATCAAAGATGACCGCATATAGCCAAGACAATTCTACGCAAAAAGAACAAAGCTGGAGGCATCACGCTACCTGACTTCAAACTATACTACAAGTTACAGTAACCAAAACAGCATGGTACCAGTACTAAAACAGACATATAGACCAGTGATGCAGAACAGAGACCTCAGAAATAGCACTACAAATCTACAACCATCTGATCTTTGACAAACCTGACAAAAACAAGCAATGGGGAAAGGATCTCCTATTCAGTAAATGGTGCTGGGAAAACAAGCTAGCCATATGCAGAAAACAGAAACTGGACCCCTTCTTTACACCTTCTACAAAAATTAACTCAAGCTGGATTAAAGACTTAAATGTGAAACCCAAAACCATAAAACACCTAGAAGAAAACCTAGGCAATACCATTCAGGACATAGGCATGGACAAAGACTTCATGACTAAAACACCAAAAGCAATTGCAACAAAAGCCAAAATTGAAAAATAGGATCTAATTAAACAAAAGAGTTTCTGGACAGCAAAAGAAACTATCATCAGAGTGAACAGGCAACCTACAGAATGGGAGAAAATTTTTGCAATCTACCCATTTGACAAAGGCCTAATACTGAGAATCTACAAGGAACTTGGGAAATTTACAAGAAAAAAACAAACAACCTCATCAAAAAATGGGCAAAGGATATGAACAGACACTTTTCAAAAGAAGATATTTACGTGGCCAACAAACATGAAAAAAGAAGCTCAACATCACTGATCATCAGATAAATGCAAATCAAAACCACAATGAGATACCATCTCACACCAATTACAATGGCGATTATTAAAAAGTCAGGAAACAATAGATGCTGGTGAGGCTGTGGAGAAATAGGAACGCTTTTACACTGTTGGTGGGAATGTAAACCACTTCAACCATTGTGGAAAACAATATGGTGATTCCTCAAGGTTCTAGAACCAGAAATACCATTTGGCCCAGCAATCCCATTACTGGGTATATACCCAAAGGAATATAAATCATTCTACTATAATTACACATGCACATGTATGTTTATTGCAACACTATTTACAATAGCAAAGATATGGAACCAATCCAAATGCCCATCAATTATAGACTCAATAAAGAAAATGTGGTACATAGACACCATGAAATACTATGCAGCCATGAAAAGGAATGAGATCATATCCTTGGTAGGGACATGGATGAAGCTGGAAGCTATCATCTCAGCAAACTAACACAGGAACAGAAAAGCAAACACCACATGTTCTCACTCCTAAGTGGGACTTGAACATTGAGAACACATGGACACAGACAGGGGAACAAGACATACCAGGGCCTGTTGTGGGGTGGATGGTGAGGGGAGAGAACTAAAAGAATGGGTTAATAGCTGCAGCAAACCACCATGGCACATGTATGTATACCTATGTAACAAACCTGCACTTTCTGCACATGTATCCCTCTGTTTTTTTAGAAGAAATAAGGAAAAAAAAAAAAAGAAAGAAAGTGTCACTGTTTGGACTCATGGACTATATTTTCTTCCACTGCATCTAAGTGCCCCATGCATGAAATCCTACTACTGGTTGCCATAACTCCCTAACGCTGATTACTTTGATTTTCTTCAGTTAATTCTATTTGGATATATTTTAAGTTTATGCCTCATCTCTCTCTGGATAGACACTCTGGATTTAGTATTCATCCATTGCCTGACTCATTTGTTTATTTTATTTCTTTTTTAATTTTATATTTTTTAAGTATTCAAATAATTTAAAATGATATTTGCCCAATGAAGTAATTTTCTCTTTTAGAGGTATCTAAATTGAAAATAATAGGCTTCTTCCACTTTTATTTACAAGATGTAAAGAAAGCTTCAATAAGGTAAGTCCTGAAATTGCTACCTCTCTTAAAATGCAGTCAGTATAAATGATGATACATCACAGAGAAGGAAAGATATAAATTGTGCCCTGTAGACATTTATATTTGGATAAGGCTGCATGTAAAATCCTCTACACTTCAGATTCACACCTTTCCTTTTGGGATTTAACCAGTTTGAGATGGGTTCTCTGTCACTTGTCAAATAAATCCTAAATAAATCAAAAGGCAGATCTAGAGTGGATTTTATCTCATCTCCTCCCTGTGATAGGCATCTATCAAGAGTTTTCCTTTCGTTCATGATATTTTATAAATACTCATATCTATATAAACACTTTCTACATTTTCATGTTTGCTGGGGAAAAATGAATCATTCTTTACACATGCCAGTATTGTAATTTTTTTCATTTACCACTAAATCTTAGACTTTAATATTTTATTAAATGACTATATTTTATTTCCTAATATTTATATACCAAAATGTTGTTAACTATATATTGCTCTATGGTCTGGCTTTTTAAATATTTGAGACAAATTGCAATAAACATCTTTGTTCATTTATATTTAAGCATAAGTATTTAAACATGGTGAAATAGAATCCAAAAATATGATTGTGTACATAAAAAGGGAGTATGGAAATATTTCCTTTTCAGAAAATTATTGTTCAGCCTTTTGACAACCATACCTTAGTTTCTTTCTTGGGAACCATTTGTTGCAGGTATCATGTAGTTTTAGCGGGTCTGATTCTACTCAGATTCAAAGCTGCCATTATTCAGAACACTCTTATCTGATATCATTATCACAGTCACAGAGAGTGGTTAAAACATTGATATGAGAACTTATAGGAATCATGAGATCTTATGAGACTTTTACTAAGATTTCTGGGAACAGATGCTGGACCTCTATACATAATGAAAGCTCCAGAATGTAAGTTCCAGACGTGCTACTTCATTTTGGAAATTCAATCAAAATCGAAGGTGTAGATAAAAGGACAGAGGGAGAGAGATTAATTGATCACTACTGGCATTTTTTGAGTCCCAAATCAGGTGACCCCCAAACCCTTCACTTTTCAGCCCATGTGCCAATGAATTTCCTTTAGGAGTTCACCCAATTTGAATTAATTTTTTTCTCACTTGTTCTCAAAGGAATGCTACATGATAAAAAGAGTATTTAAGTACTTTTAAAAATAAAGAGGAACAAATTAACTTTTCAAAAATTTAAGTAATTATAGATCTATAAATTAATAAGAGTCCTTATATTTCCATATATTTGCCAACCAAAGATGCTATTCATTGTGTCAACTTTTGTCAGTACTCTGGGAAGACAATATCTCATTGGTGTTTTTTTTTTTTGATGATATGGTTTGGCTGTGTCCCCACCCAAATCTCATGTTGAATTGTGATCCCCAGTCTTGGAGGTGGGGCCTGGTGGAAGTGATTGGATCATGGTAGTGGTTCCTAATGGTTTAGCACCATCCCCCTAGTGCTGTCTTGTGATGTGATAGAGATCTCAGGAGATCTGGTTATTTGAAAGTGTGTAGCACCTTTCCTTTCTCTCTTCCTCCTGCTCCTGCCATGTGAGATGCGCTGGTTTCCCTTTGTCTTCCACCATAGTTGAAAGTTTCCTGAGGCCTCCCAGCCATGCTTCCGGTACAGCCTGTGAAACTGTCAATTAAATGTCTTTTCTTTATAAATTACCCAATCTCAGGGAGTTCTTTATATCAGTGTGAGAATGAACTAATATATTTGAATTTCTTTCTCTGTGAATAAAAGCAAGCATTTTTTCCTATACACTAATTATTAGAATTTCATATTTTTCAATTGTCTGTCCATTTTTTTTTATCTTCATCCTTGTTTGTAGAACACCCAATGTTATACTGGAGACCTTAAATGTGCTTACATCTATTAAGCAAGCCAGCTATGGTGCTAAACCATTAGAAACCACTACCATATATAAGAATAACGAGCTACTCTTCTTTTCCAACAATTTTTCTCAGGAATGCCCTCACATTCACTTTGTAGACCTACTGATCTCTACTCTCAACTTTCTATTTTTTTTCCTGAGGAATAATTTATAAAATGCTGTGCAACATCTAACTGACATCCTCTGAAATCTTAATGCAGAAATGAGAGAAATATGCTATTTTTTGCACATTTTAAGAGTAGAGACTTCTTAAATGCTCTTCCAGTAGACTCAGGAATAACAGAGGACCCAAAGGCATGTTTTGTAGAAATAGAGAAATGGCATATTTAACTAATACAATAATTTATTTTATCATTTCCCAATAAGTCCTTTATAAATCTTCAAAGATTTGTGAATGTATCAAGGGAAACATATTATCCTGAAATCTGTTTTAATGTCTAACCTGAAATCAATACACACAGTAATTTGAGTTGATTATTTTCTGCAAAACAGAGCAATCTGAGCACATGTCATTATGCATTTGGTGGGTGGCAGCAGCAGTTAGCACAGCTCAGGTGAGTGTTTGTCATCACTAATTGCCGTTTGATTTCACCATTTCACGTTTTTAACATTTCTATGCTAAATTTAGTCATATGTTATTATTTTAGTGTTTCCAAAATATGAGTCACTTCCATACTGCTTTTATGATTTTTGCCTGAAGCTGAGAAAGAAGCAAGAATAAGCATAAGGAGGCTGAGATAGAAGCATTGGGGGTGGTGAAGACACTGAAGCTGTAGCAGGGTGACCTGAGGACACCAGGGGGGGTTGGGGAAAGAGCCAAGAAACCCATGTCCCCACTCTGTATGGCTGCACAGTGGGTCCTCCTGAAACCTCCTATATGCAGTTAATCTTAATCAAAACTAGATAAATGAACTTGAAGTGTCCTCCAGGTATCACATATCTTCTGAATATACCCAATTTGGCCCATTATCTGTTTTTTGTTTCTGTTTTTAAAAAATTAAGTTTTTGTTACCGTTTTTGTTGTTAACATTGTTTGGATGTTTTATGGTCTATAAGATAAGAACGTTTTTTATATTTGCAAATGCTTACATTGTAAAAGATTATATGGGGACCAACATTATAAAGTCTATTTCACTCCTTGGCCTGCAAAAATGTTAGATTTCTGGTCTTTTATGAAAAAGTTTACCAACCACTGCAATGGATCACAGATGCCAGGAATCATTTCTGTAACTTTACTCAATGTCCAATTAAAATGGGCATTCTGTGCTATCATGCTATAATCAGGTTCTCAAGGCAATCAAGGCAGACTTGAGTACTATAAAAATGCTATTCATTTTGATAAAAATCATGTGATTTCCAAATATCAGGAAGAAAGCAATGGGCGTGAGCAATAGTATTGAAAATATTTACACAAATGGGCCTTTTATGGCCTATGTTCTCTAATGCGCCAATCTTCTCAGCACTTCCAATGTTCTCAGCACTTCTTAAGTTTTCTGTTTGACACTAAAAATATTTTTTATTGATTTTTTTGTACTTGGAGTGAGGGGTGAGTAGGGCATTTTATTGAAATAACTATAGCAAGCTGTAAAAGGGAAGGTCAAGGTTAAAGAATATAATGAATGCCTATGAAAGCAGGTTATAAGTCAGTTAATAAATTAGAGGTGACGGATGACATCTATAGGCGCCTGTCTTCTGGATACTCTTGGAAGAATAAGTTCCTACTATGGTTGTCAAAGATTATGCATCACTTGAAGAAGTTCATGCTAATCAGTCTATGACTGACATTCTCCTTGGATCCCTACAAGTCCTTCACGTGAGGCTAAGTCATCACTGAAGAAACATAAATGGAAATAAATTAAATTGATTCTTTCAGCAAATTGGTTTGCAAAGAGCACATCAGCGAGCATCCTTCAGAAGAGTAAATATAAAGGAAAATATTTTGAACATATTTGAATTGTTATAAAAATAGGATCAACATTAGAAAAGTAAACAAAAGTGATGTGTAATATCTCCCAAACTATATTTTATTGTTAGTATTCACTGAACCAGAGCTTCATTGCTGTTGCCTCAACAAAATACACATGCTTTGAATTTGATTAAAAAAATTTCTAACATAGAAAAAAGATATAACAAAAAGTGATTTCCCTGTCAACTAGCTTCACAAAAAGCATTATAAAAATTGTTTACGCTTCCATTAATGGTTAACGCAGCCACAATCCTGAAAATTTATTTTAGGTCCACTCCCAAGCATATCTCCAAGTTAAATTTAACTTTGTTCCAAATAATATATGATGTTGTTTGCCCTACTTTATATTTTGTATAAATGATATCTCATTGGATATTTCCTACTGCATATTTTTAACTCAATACTATATTTTGGAGATAATAACACAAATTGCTCCAGTTCATTAACTTTTAGTGCTGTATTATACACATAGTATAAAAATGTTTCCATGAACATCCTGGTACATATCTCCTTATGTACATGTGCAAGAGTTTCTCTTGTGTACATTATAAGAATTTAAATTTCTGAGACAATGGTTATGTCAATCTCATATAAGATATGTTCTGTTAAATTCTCTCCAGTATGGTCATTCTAGTTAACTTTCTTCCCATTAGTCTTCAGCAAAATACAGTTTTGTTTTATATCACTGCTAACATGTGATATTATTGGACTTTACAATGCTTGCCAGTCTGTGTGATTTGAACTCTGATTAAGTATCCCTGTGTGTGTGTGTGGGGGGGGGTGTTATTAATCACTGTTATGTTTCTTCTTCTTTACATTCCCAGGACACATATTTTTTTGTCAATTGTGCTTTTGGGTAATTATCTTTTTCTTATTTCTATGTTTGATTCTTTATAGCCTCTAAGTACTAAATTTTGAGTTATATATCTAGGCAAAACCTCTCCCTAGGCATTCCTCATCATTCTCCCTGTTTTTTTTTTTTTTTTTTTTTTTTTTTTTTGAGACGGAGTCTCGCTCTGTCGCCCAGGCTGGAGTGCAGTGGCGCGATCTCGGCTCACTGCAAGCTCCGCCTCCCGGGTTCACGCCATTCTCCTGCCTCAGCCTCCCGAGTAGCTGGGACTACAGGCGCCCGCCACCACGCCCGGCTAATTTTTTGTATTTTTAGTAGAGACGGGGTTTCACCGTGTTAGCCAGGATGGTCTCGATCTCCTGACCTCGTGATCCGCCCGCCTCGGCCTCCCAAAGTGCTGGGATTACAGGCGTGAGCCACCGCGCCCGGCCCATTCTCCCTGTTTAAGGGTATCTTTTGATGGATAGAAGGTTGTAATTCTAATATACTCGGATTTATCATAATTTTCCATTTGCTCCATGCTGTTTGGATTTAAAAATTCTTTTTCCACCCTGAGTACAAAAATATCCTTCAATATGTCTTGGAAAAGTTTTAAAGTTGTGCTTTTCACATTTAGATATATATTCTACTTAGATTGATTTATGTGTTTGATATGAGGTAGAAATTTAATTTCTATTTTCCCACTTAGATATTCATATTGCTCAGCCATGCATATGAGATAAATTTTTAAAAATATTTTATCCTGCATGCTTAGTTGCTTTTAGTGGTAACATTAGTCCAGGTACCCATATACTCCACTACCAGAAACAATTGCTTGCTAAAAATTATTTAACAAATCCTATAACAGTAGTACTCTGTTCTACCTTTAATTACCTATTCTATGTAAACTACCATTGTTGTCTAGCCCTATGATAAATTATTTAAAGACAATCGTCAATATTTTATAATTTTCAATCACTTCTAGATATCAAAATCTCTGTGAAGATTAACCCTTTATGAGTGTTATAATCACGGGTGAGGCAGTTGATTTGTTAGATCTTATAAAATTAAAAAAGTTTTACACCAAGGTAACAGCTGGGCTGTGTTCTGCAACCTAAGTGGACATGAGTGAACTCAGAATGAAGGACCACCCCAGGCAGAAGGAATGTCGCAAGCAGCACAAGTTCACAAAGTCCAGGGAGCGCTCAGCGAAGCAGGAAAAGGCAGGAGGTGAAGATGGGGCAGATTCTCAAGATCTTGAATGTCTTCTTGAGGAGTCTGGACATTATGTTACTGGCAAACAGAATTATGTATGAGTTCTAGGAGGGAACTTACATATTAAGATTTGTATATGAAGAAAAAAGCTCTGATAATAGAGTACATATGTGTATGTGCATCTGTCCATGGCAAATCTGGAGAGATTGGAGTCTGGAGGCAGGAAAAACATCTTTTTAATGATGCAGCAGTTCCAGCTAAGAGTTATCAAAGTCTTGGCATTTCTAAGGTAATGCCAAAGAGTAGGAGGGGATCTAAATATATTCAAGAACAATATACAGAAGAGAAGCACCTAAATTTGGTGAAAACTGAATGTGGTGAATGAGAATGAAGGAATATTTAAGAAATCAACCTGGTTTCGTCTTTGAATAGATGATTGATAGTAGATAGATAGTTGATAGAGTTGCAAACAGCAGGCCTTATATGATGAGTGAAAGCTGAGATAAATCCAGTTCACCAAATACTTACTGAGGGCCTGTTATTTGTCAGTCTCTAAGAATTAATAGTATATACCTCAGAGAATACAAAGTTAAAATATACGTAAACAGTGTTGCTGATGTGTATGAAATAATATTTCCTCAATGCTGTTGTATGGCTCTTCTTTACTAATGAAATCAGAAAAGTAAAATAAGAACTTTCATTATAGGTGTAATGTAATATTAAATTCTAGATGTTAAATTCTGTAGAGTGCTGTGAATACTTGGAGTTTATTCTTTGAGGCGTAATGGAATCATATACATTTAGTATAAATTCATCATTGTAGGCTGGGTATGGTGGCTCACTCGTGTAATACCAACACTTTGGGAGGCTGAGGTGGCAGATCACAGGGCCAGGAGTTTGAGACCACCCTGATCAATATGGAGAAATCCCTGTCTCTACTAAAAATACAAATTAGCCGGGTGTGGTGGCACATGTCTGTAATCCCAGCTACTCAGGAGGCAAAGGCAGGAGAATCGGTTGAACCCAGGGGGCAGAGGTTGAAGTGAGCCAAGATTGCGCCATTGCACTCCAACCTGGGCAGCAAGAGCGAAAGTCCGTCTCAAAAAAAAAAAAAGACAAAAAAATTCATTAATGCAAACACTTTAACCTGAAGGAAATTCACAAAGCACAGTCACTTGTGAATGGTTTGATGTGGGTGATATTGAGCTATACACTATGTTTTATCCATGTCTTCTATTTGTTCTATTACAAATATACACAAATTATATATTCAGAAAAAAAGTGGCTCACACCTGTAATCTCAACACATTGGGAGGCCGAGGAGGGGAGATCATGAGGTCAGGAGATCAAGACCAGCCTGACCAATATGGTGAAACCCTGTCTATACTAAAAATAGAAAAACTAGCCAGGTGTGGTGGCATAGCCCCTGCATAGTCCCAGATATGCAGGAGGCTGAGGCAGGAGAATCGCTTGAACCCAGGAGGCAGAGGTTGCATTGAGCCATGATTGCACCACTGCACTCTCCAGCCTGGGCGACAGAGTGAGACTCTGTCTCAAGAAAAAAAAAAATTAAATTCTGAATTTTTTGAATGACATGGTCTCTCCAAAAATATTCATGCCAGGTCTTTTCGTTAACGAGCGACAGATAATTTTAACTATGTAATACATGCCTGACTCCTATTACATACAATTACTTTTCTGTAGGTTAAAATCATGGCACAATGTTTCTCCTTGCTTCCATCTTGACACAGGGCTTTTTGCAGTAAATTCTGTTATTATTTTCATTATTTTTTAAGAAACAATTACAGAATAGACATTCTTTGAGGCAAGAATTGGGCTGCTATTTATCTTCTCTTTATGAAGATATGTTGAATAATTTTATTTTTTCACAAATTCTCATTCACAAAATGCTAGAGACTTGAGTATTTTTAAACAACCTGTTAATCTCCACTTATGAAAAATCTCTAATGCTATCCTGGGAGACCACCATCTGTCAACACCTGATCTCAAATTACTCCTACTGAGAAATAGATGATGCCACATTGTTGTCCAGTAATGCACATGCCTTCCTTCCCTTACCAACCCTGAAACTGACAAAGATGACTGGACTTTGCTCATGCTAACATCCCATTAGCTACACACTGCCCACTTTAATTCGCTCTGCTTGATGGAGAAGTGGTCTCTTAAAAGCCACTCAATGCAAGCTTTATAGTCACAGGAATGGAGCCAAAAATAACTCTTATTTTCCACCTACTGTGCAAGTAATATTAAAGGTGTATCGTCTCATGACTTTGTTGAAGGCAGTCCTGCTGGAGCTGGGAGCTGCATGCTCTCCTTAATCAAGAGCCCACTGTGAGCTGGGCCTATAAAGTCATTGGGTAGCCCCTGCCAGCAATTAACACACAACATGCTGACCATTCTTGGCAAACCTGAAGTAGGATTCTGGTGCCAGAAAGGCAAGATCAATCTTGAAAAGAGTGTGGCCATCTGTTGGCACTGCCCATTCTTCCCACAGGGCTTAGAGATGGCACTAACACCCACAATGCCTGCTTGAATGGATAGCACTGCATTTAAATTTTTAATTGTAAAGAGAAGTTTTTTTTTTCTATTTTGAGGCTTTGCTGCTCCCTGGTTCTACAAGACGAAAAGGCCAGACTTAAGTCATTAAACCCCAAAAATGAAAGCCTTCTTTCTGCAAAACATTAGCAAGAAGTCTTTTATTTGGCTCATGAGAAACCAATCCATTGGGGTTTGTCTGGTAATGATAGTGGAAGTCAAAGCGATAACACATCTAGTACAGTATCACTTGACCCCAGGCTTCCTCTCAGGCTATCAAACTTAGCAAAGCAAAATACAGGACACCCCATCAAATTTGAATTTTAGATGAACAACAAATGTTTGGAGGTGGGCATACTTATACTAAAATATATTTATTTTTATCTGAACTTCATAATTAATTAAGAGTCATGTGTTTTATCTGCAATCCTATCCTAGGCTCACCTCGTAAGCTCTGTTTAATGGAACATGATATCCCACCCTCTTCCTACCTCACTGTATTTAAAAACTATTCAGGAATTTTTTTAAAAAAATTTTACACACACACAAACACACACTATAAAGTACATAAATGTCATTAATTTTACAGATACAGCTTGATAATTTTTATATACATACACCATACAGATCAAGATGTAGGACCACTCCATCATTCGATGAAGTTCCCTAGCTCCCCTTTCCAGTCTATACCCTCTCTCTTTCCCCCACTGAGGTAACCCCTATTCTTCTAGTCCTAAAGATTCGTTTTTCTTTCTTTTCTTAAACCTCACTTAGATGGAATCTGATAATATGCACCTTTTGGGTCAGGTTTATTATTCTATTCAACAAAATATTCATGAAATTCTGCCATCCTGTTGTGTGCAACAATATTTTGCTCTTTTAAATTTATTTAGTTGTATGAGTATAGAAAAATTTATTTGAGCACTCACCTGTTGCTGAGTATTTATGTTGTTTTCAGTCTGGAACTGTTAGGAATACAGCTGCTACAAAGATTCTAATGCATGTGTTTTGGGATGTGTGTGTATATATATGTTTATGTATGCATGTATGTATATGCTTACCTGCAGATGCACATATTTAATGAATAAATATGGTTATTGAATAAAATATCAAAATATAGTTATTGAATAAAATATCAAAATTTAAAGATACTGAGCATTTTACCTTTCATTTAATAGGAAATTATTACTTTTTCTTTCCAAAATACAAATGAATAGTCTTCTTGGGGTAAGAGTGAGTCAGTTAGCTCTCTCTCCACTATTATTTCAAATCAGAGTATTGTTTCAGAAGACGAATTAAATAAAAATCCTCTTAACTATTAGATTTTATCATTCTAAAATTTTATTAGCAACGGTAGAGCATGAAATACTAGAACCTCAAAAATTAAGCACTACTATCATCATGCCCACTACAGCCAACATTGGAGAGTATGGTTCTTTGGTTTTGAGTAAATTGAGAAAGAAAAATACATGTCACAGACCAAGGGTGGTCAGAGAGCATCTCACGGCTTGCTCCAACAGCACTTTCCAGAATACCAGATGGGCATTGCTACCTTTTCTGTTGCCATTACCACTTCATTTCACTGCCATTGTTAATGGTATTTCTATCATCCTCTGCTTAGATTACCAGTCCTGGCCAGACACAGTGGCTCACATCTGTAATCCCAGCACTTTGGGAGGCCAAGGCGGTGGGGATTACCAGAGATCAGGAGTTCAAGACCAGCCTGGCCAACATGGTGAAACCTCATCTCTACTAAAAATACAAAAATTAGCCGGGCATGGTGGCAT
This sequence comes from Homo sapiens, assembly GCF_000001405.40. Classification (NCBI taxonomy): domain Eukaryota; kingdom Metazoa; phylum Chordata; class Mammalia; order Primates; family Hominidae; genus Homo; species Homo sapiens. Next base: position 88,624,726 of record NC_000003.12, on the reverse strand, counting down.
ACACCTGTAATCCCAGCTACTCTGGAGGTTGAAGCAGGAGAATCACTTGAACCCAGGGAGCAGAAGTTGCAGTGAGCCGAGGCTGCACCACTGCATTCCAGCCTGGGTGACAGAACGAGACTCTGTCACACAAAGAAAAGATATTCAGTCCTATATGGTAAAGAATATCCTTTTTCTCTCAACAGAAAGTTCTGCAGTAGTTTCCTTATATGTTAACAACGAGATAATTTACTGCAAAATAGGAAAGAATTGTTCTTTCACCTCACATGGACACAAATGAATTCTTGTCTTTCAGATTTCTTTGTTTATACTTTAGCATTTCCTACATATTTTGTTGTAATAAAAAAGTTAATGTATTTTTAAAATTTTCAGATAGACAATTATAATTATAATATCAACCACTAATATAACTTTTATGCTGTCCCAGGAACTGATTCCAGTATATATTAAATTATGTTACAAGGATAACAAACTAGAAATAGGTTTTTATTATTCTTATCCACACCTTTCTGATGAAAAATCCAAGGTGTGAGCTGTTAGGTTAAGTTGGTCAACATTACTCAACTAGCTAGTGGTAGATTCAGATTTATAAACCCAGGGTGTTTATCTTCAGATTTTCTACTCTTAAGGTGAACTATGTTTGGTTTACTTGAGGCAGTATTTTTAAAAAATAAAGGAAAAAGAAGACAAACATTCACCACAAAGGGAAACTCTACAGGTACAACACAGACAGCAGAAATGAAGATTCATTTCCTTCAGTCACTGCAAGTGCAATGACAGAGAATCATTTTCTCTTCAATTCCATATATCATTCCTAAGATTTCAGCTAAAATGGCAATTATAATAATGTATGTGGAATTATGAATATTTTTTCCTACTAAATTTGACTGAAATGACCAACTATTTCTCAATAATGGGTCTAACATTAATTGCACAGACAGAGCTTTTCCCATCCTTGATGCTTTATGTACATTTTAATGTATTCTTTAAAAAAAGATAATAGATTTTTCAAGGAATCCTATGATTCATGCAATTTTCTAGATGGAAAAATGAAGCCCCAGAACAATGCACTGTAGAGCACAGATAAGCAGTCAGTAGAGCTCTCAAATTTAGGGGAATTATTGAGACTACTGAAAATTAAAAGTTCATACACACATAAATTCAAGAAAAGATTAGGAAAATTGTTCTTCATTCATGTTAGTATTTATTTGAAGGCTTATTTTGATAAAACACTATTTTAATATACTTCCTTTGATTTATTCTCATTTTCTATTTCTTATCATCAGTCTGAGTCCCAAATAGTGCAGCTACATATCCAGCAGAGATTTCTACCCACCCCATCATCTGGACCAATGGACTTGAGCAGGATCATAAATGCATGTTTTGCTAAGGCGAGAATGCCAGTAGGGCCCACAATTTTGCTTTATTTTTTCTATTATTCAGAAATGATAATAAATATTCTGGGAATGTAAGAAACACCTTAAGCATTTTTCCACAGTAGGAGTATAGATGACCCTTAAGATACAGGGGTTAGGAGTGCCAACTCCCCTGCACAGTAAATAATCCATGTGTAACTTTTGATTCCTCAATAACTTAACTACTAATACCCTACTGTTGACCGGGATCCTTACTGATAATATAAACAGTCAGTTAACACATATTTTGTATGTTGTCTCTATTATATAGTGTATTCTTACCATAAAGTAAGCTAGAGGGAAGAAAATGTTAATAAGAAAATTATAAGGAAGAGAAAATATATTTACTATTTGTTAAGTGGTGGTGAATCATCACAAACACCTTCATCCTTGTTTTTTTCACACTGAGCAGGCTGAGAAGGAGCAGGAGAAGAAAAGGCCGATCTTTCTGTCCCAGGGGTGATAGTGACAAAAGAAAATCCAAGTATAAGTGGGCCCACATGGTTAAAACCATGGTGTTCAAAGGTCAACTGTATTTGACATTTATATTATGCAAATGCAAGTTTTGTGATATAATGTTATGACATAATGCCCAGCAACCATCAGCCGTTTGGTTCTCGCTCACTTAATTTTGGTTTTATTCAGATGGACTTGTGCATCAGTGATGCTAAAGAAGATGATCCCCTCTCTGAAATCCAGAGAATAAATCATGATTAGTCTCTAAACCAGTAGTGTCAATTCCATTATTCTTTGCTAAGGATGGCTTTAGTTTAATGAATGCCATTTGGCGCAGTAAGCCATAAGAAGTCTAATGCCAACTTCTGGAAAAGATGTATTTTTCTTATATAAGGACATTAGTGTAACAACTGGTGAAACCTAAATAAAATATAGAGTTCATTCAATAGTAATACAGGATACCAGTGATGTTTTCTCAGTTTTGACAAATATGCCATTGTGATATAAGATGATTAGCTCAGAGAAAATTTAAACTGGGTGTGAGTTTTGGAAAACTTATCTTTGTAACTTTTCTGTAAATCTAAAATTATTCCAAAAATTTTTTATTCAAAAAAATCAGACCATGGCCTATAACTAAAGAAAATTAAGAAAGTGGACCTGACAGATTTGGATTTAGGGCAATCCTGGAGCATGATATTCCTGGGTCCAGGAGACCCAGAATACTGGCTGCTACTCGTTAGAAGATAACCCAAAGTACAAGCAAGTAAACAAGACCATCTTTGACCTTATCTGTGAGCCCAACTGATATGATCTTTATTGCTTTTAAATAACTCAGTATGGAGATATATTAGACAAGTTTAATTTTAATTGTAATAATAATTTATTCAAACAAAATGATTGCAAGGGCATTGTCAACAATGAAGATATTTGTACTACTGAGACAATCTCTTTTCTTTAATGTACTTTAATAGTATTTCTACCACTTGCACATTCTAGACATTGAAGGCACGTAGTAATAACTATTTCTGTTAGTTATGTTGGTTGCCATGGTTACTCTGCAGCTGTGATGTAACAAAGAACATTATTAAGACTTTTTATGAAGTGGCAAATATAGCTTAGCCTTGCAAAAGTGTCATTAATAATTTCAAGGGGGAAATAAATGAATGTATTTATATTGGAAATTCAAAAAGCCATATATAAAGAGGCAAAATTATGTGCCCTTGAGAAATAGGAATTCCTTTCCGAAATGAGAACATTTTCAGAATCATTATGGTAATCACCATTTTGCATTCAGTGGGTGAATATGTTTGCATAGTGTGGTACTTAATAATATATATATATATAAAGTATAGGGCAGAAGTAACCCATGTATTATACGTGAGGAACAAAAAAAGTTTACCCAAGTGTTGTCCGCGAGGTTGCTGAGCATATCAAATTCTTCTATATACTTCCCAGTGTATATTCACACACTCCAGGATTGAAAAAATGTGGTGTTTTGAGCCACTGTTCTTGCTCTCCAGGGCCCTTAGGTAAATTGCCTTAGGAAGAGCAGGTAACCAACAACATCTGAAAAGTTTGAGTTTTAATAAATCTTTCATTTTGCCCTCCTCAACCTTCATTGAACGTCCCTTTGACATGTGATATGCCAGCATATTAATCGCAATAAGCTACTGCACACTAGATGCCAAATGTCAGGACCTTAATATGCAAAATACATTCTTCCTGCGTAAATGGGAACTTGACTCTCTTTGTCCCTAGTTCTTTGAGAGGGCTGATGTCATAACTTGACTATAAAGAAAAAATAATGCAAATACAGCTATTTATTTAATTAGTAACAAGGGTAAAATCCTCCTAATACAACTTCATCAGAGGTCAGTTTGGGGTCCCTATCACAGAACAAGCGGATTTTAGGGACTGGCTTAATACTGATCTCTAGACTTCAATTTCCCACTAATAAAGGGTAATATAATGTAGTGTAAGACTTTGTATTTGTTCAGATATTTTAACTACTGAGGAACTAATATGCAACAACTGAATAAATAACTCTGCACTTAGTGTTACAGCAGCACAGATGACCTCTGATGGAGAAAAGGATCAACCGCAGCCAAATCAAAGGTGGAAATGGGCTATTACCATTCAGAGAATCGAAACTAGAAAGCTTCTTTCTATTTTATTATTAACTAATTTACATATGACTGTAGAAGATATAAACATCACATGTGACCAATTTTTAATCATGAAGTTAGAAGAAAACAGTCTATTAAAAAGAAAAAATAGAACCAATCAAACAAAACATAATGAAAGGGCTTGAAAGGAAGCCAAGTATTTGAAAGTTCTAATCTTCAAAAAAAAAAAATTTATTAGCAAGTTTTATTTCCTGAAGTGGCTGCTATAAATTAACATATATTACTTTCTAGAATTTTCTACTATAGTTTTCAAATGTAACCTTATATTTTCAGTTCTTTTTGTGCCACCATAGCTAGACTCAAAATGGTAGCATTCAGAATCAGATTTCATATAGTCTTGTTTCCCCAGTGCTGAGCAAAGTGTAGGGTATTTAGAAGACATTTTAGCTTATGAGATAAAATGAAGGAGATAGGTTGAGCTCATATGAATTGCTTCAGTTTTTTAGTGGCGGTCAGTAATTTGGGAAGCTAACTTTTCACATTAGCGTTTTTTTATTATTCAGAAATTTTCTAAGGTGTTGATCCACCTGATATGTGCTGGCCTTTAGAACTGTTTTTTCCCTCCTTTCTCAAATGCTGTTATTTGAAGACCTGCACTCATATCCTGGGAAGTTTGGCCTCTGACTTCTTATTTCCCTGAATAAACATCATAATGGCAACTTCCTTTTTCAAATTTAAGCCCTCACTTTCAGAATTTTAATCCAGTTAGTCCTTTCCCTACAGTGTGTAATCAATACTCAGGGATTAGTCTGTCTTTCTCGAAGAGTCTTCATTATAAAACTTAGTAGCTTTGTGATCTCCCCGCCCGAGCTCTACTTCCTAGACAATAGATGAGAAAACCCTCTTTGGTTATTGCCCAATTAATTAGAATTTACTCCTGGGTTTTGATTAATTTCAGTTGATGATAATTATTAAGCCACTTGGCTTTAAGGACTACAAAATGTGACAAAGCTTGAAATTAGGTAAAGGAGCCTAAATTTTCGTTTTTGGAGGAGAAATTTAATTGTGCACATACACAACTAGGGGGAAGTCATCAAAATAGCATTTGGAAAAGTGTTCAAATTAAAATTTTCTACACAATTTTTACCAAAACACTTTTGTACATATATTACTTCCACATGCAAGACATTTTCTGTCCAACCACTAATCAATCTTGGTTTTTGCTTTTCAACTTTACACTGTAACTTATGAAAGCCTTATTTACGATAGATAACACTAAAGGATTATTATATAAAGCTGGCACAATTGACTTCAAATGCGCAACATTATCGATTGGTCACTGGACTCATTGAGAGTTCCACCCACAAAGCCTGGTTTCTTTTGCTGTCATAACTAGATGCAGCCATTATTGATGTCACGGTACAACACATCATCCTTTGTGGACTCCTCTTTTCTGGGCGATGAGATCTTTTTTGTCATATTTGTGTCACAGCTGAAATGCCCACTATCTCCAGTTTAATCACTTATGGGAAAAAATGAATCAAAAATATTGACTGTGTATTAGTGGCCCAAGGGAAATCTGAGAACTCTCTTTTGACTCCTACAACGAAAACATCTTTCAGTCTTTAACTTCTTATTATTTAAATAGCCATTGATTTGTTTAATATCTTATATTTTCTGTTGGCAAAGAGTAAATTAGCAGGCACTTAGGAAAAAATCATGCACACAGTTCGTTATTTATTTGAGTTGAGATTGATATGTAGGAAGCATTAGCCAGCTGAGTACACCTATGTAGAATTGTTGATATAAGAAAAAATAATAAGCAAAACAGGATTTCATTAAAACTATGTGGAATTTTATTGTACAGCAAACATTTTTGTTAACTCTACTTTACCATAGTTGACAAATCCAGTGATTTCAAGAAAAAAATAGGTCAGAAAGGGAAGGAAAGTATAGTTATACATAAGCCTTGTCTCTTTAACCCATTTATTAAGAAAAACAATCCCTTTGAACGTAAAAGTCTACTGAATAATCTCCTCAAAATGTGTAATTGGAACATATTCTTAAATTTATAACAAGAAATAAAATTGCTTGAAGAAGGCAAAGAACTCCAGACAGTGTCCCTTCACAGCAACAGAAGAAGCCTCGTCAGCAGCCCAATATTTAAAACTTAAAATCTCCACTGGAGCCAGGCGCTATGCTCACCAAATAACCAATAAAAGGCAGTTGTTAACTGCTGGGAAAATAAATTGCTGAGAGAAGCATGTGACAAAGGCAATTAAAAACTTTCTTTTTCTAACCACAAAATGTCCTGCCCCAGAAAAATGTAGAGAATATAGTAGAAAAGATTGCGCTCATAAATAACTTTTTTTCTTTCTCTGACATCACTCTGAAAAATATCTTTCCTTTTTTCCTAGGGGCACATTTATGTTTGCAGTGTTTTAAAGCTTGACTCAAATGTAGCTGCTAACAAAGCATATCTTTGCCTGTCGAGCTCTCATGGACTCTCTCGTCTTCTAATTGCCCAGTGAAAGTGCAGCATCAAGATGCTTGGGCAACAGCTAATCGTTCATAAGTGCTGGAAGCAGGAGAGCTTTTACAGAATGAACAGCAATCAAATATGGTAAGCAGATGGCTGCTCCACACTGTGAGGGCCACCACCAAAGACTCCCTTCATTTAGGATGTGCCAAAAAGCCACGGATGGCTCTATTAACAATTTTTTTTATTAGTTAAATGTTTTTTATATTTAACTGGAATTTTAAAAAGCTTGCACAGGCACATTTTGTCCTATAACAATCAGTCTTCCCAATAAAAGATCTTTAATACTGGCTGCATCTCAAATTCCTTTGTCATTCTCAGAAAGTAATCCACTGTATGACTGAGTCTTCATGGTTTAACAGCAGTAAATGAGTGCTAGCAATGGGGGAAAGGGAGCCACATTCCATGAAGTTATTATTGTTTTGAAAGTTTTTACTCTTTTAGAATTTGAATACTCTTGTGAAGTCACAACCACAAAGGTATGCTGTACAAGAAATATATTTTTTCTTGCCTTATTTAATAAAGTAAACATTTTAAAACTACAATATTATTTAAATTATAAGGCTTTATATTTTCTCTATGATTTTCTATACCAATTTATGTGTAGTAGTTGAAGGTGATCTGTTGCTATCCTGACAACTTGCAGCAAAGTGCATCACTACATATTTGTTAATTGAGAGGCAGAGGAAGTGGAATCTTTAAGCAAACTTAAAATAGGAAATACTCTATTGTGTAATAGTCTGGTGGGTTAGCACCAAAAAGTGGAGACAGGAACTTGAATAAGATTAGCTTTGAATACATTATTCCTTGGGCCTAGAATTTATAATTATTAAAACATATATTTAATATTTCAGGTGAAAAATATTTTGGATTATTAGATTCATCACGCCATTTTTTTGCTATTATTATAATTCATAGGAAGAATTCTCTGACTATGTGACTGACTCTTTAAAGAAAAATAGAGATAAACGAAATGTATCCTTTTGTTGTTGGGGCTTGCAAGATCTCATTTTATAGCAGTTTAAGGAATTAAATTGTTAAAAAATAATATGGGTGGTATGCTCAGTAGGCATTCTTTTTTTTTCTATTTTCGCTATAGAGAAGAAGTTCAATAATTTAGAGAAAAAGAATTAGTGTTGCATTTTGGAGAGGTGTACATTTATTCAAGCTTCCTATTGCAAATCCTAGAGTTTGACCATAAATCTTAACACAAAACTGTTCTTTTCAGGTATACATTTGCATAGCTCCTTTCTTTTAACCTCTCATTTCCAGTCCTCAAATAGGTCATCAGTTTGCTAATTGCTCACCACAGCCTAGGTTTTAATCACCTGATCCATCAACTGGCCTTCTCACACTTTCTTTATTCATCTTGTCAGTAAGTGACATTCTTGGTAATGAAAACAACAAATCTATTGATAGCATCCCTCCGTGGAGTGGAAGGCATCCTACATTAGCTCTGTCTTGGAAACCAGTCTATTCTATTACAATTGACCTTCTCTTGCTGATTACCACACAAATCACAGTCCTTTACCCCCCTCCCCATCTATTAGAGTATTTCTCCTGCAGCCTTTCAATTGCCTGACTGCAGTTGGTAATTGGATTCATGTTTGAAGCACAGCACTGTAAGGAAAAGCCTGGAATAATTCAAATGGAACACCCTGGCCTAAGGCTGAGACCATATGTTACACTCAGATTTGTGTCAGTGAAGCTTATTGCTTTAGCAACAAGAAAACCCATTCAAATGTCATGAAATTTTGTTTTATTTTAGTGGTTAATTTATTTAGAGATGTTAATATAATGCAATGTCCACAAAATTGTAATAGTAAAGGGATGGATAAATTACTTGACTTTGTAAAATATTTAAAAAAAAATAATCGGTAAATTGTCTTCCCTCTCCTCCTGAATCTCATACTTTGCCACAAGTAGCTTTGAATTATGTAATGCAAAAATTAGAGACCATCGAAAAGCCACCTACTTGGCAGCTGGCCTTCCTCCAGCACTCATCGCTCCATACACATTTAGAAGCATTGTACCACTTTTGCAATACATTTTCAAATTGATGAGTTCTTTTTATTCTGTTATTAAAAGGGCAAATATTACCTGACCAAATGTACAGTTAGTGACAAAATAGTGTACACACATACACACACACACACACATATACACACATACTATTTGTGAAATAGGTTGCCATTACTTTTAACGGCAAAAACCACAATTGCTTTTGCATCAACCTAGTAGAAATACATGTGAAAGTGACTAAACTCCTTTATTCTTGTGTGTCACTGATAAGTTTGTGGTCACCTATCTATCCAACCTCCCTACCCCTGTCTCATGTTCCCTAATATGTATTCTAAGAAATACTTTATATAAAATCTGAAATGCTAGAGAGAATTTGCTCTCCAGAGAGAGAGAAAACTGCTCTCTGGAGAAACAGCAGGTTTTTTTTAAGTCTCTAAATTATTCTTTCATGTCATTGGGCTATGACTCCGTTATTAATATAAACCCTAGTGATGTACATGAATTTATATGAATTACTCAATAATAATTGACCTATGAGTGGATCATTCAAATACCCACTGCATAACGTCTTGGGTGAAGTAGCCATGAAATATCTCATCTGTCCCATTTTGCAGATAGACAAGTTGAATCATGTAAGCAAGTCCTTGAAATAATTCAATAAAAAGGTTAAAATATGAAATTCTATCTCTTCAGAAATAATTATAAAGCACTGGTCCAGTCTTGCCGTAAGTGCAGCCGTGGCAACAATTATCAGTTACCTTACAGATGGAGAGAAGTAAATGAGACATTTCTATTTATATATGACTTTTTAATTGTTTTTGTACATATATTTGAATGTGCATCTAACTGACTCTTAGGAAGTCAAAACATCTCAAACAAATAGTGATGCAAGTGTGTACAACTTCACAAAATTTCTAGCTCATATGTCTAGGTGCTAGAAATAAGTGTAATTTTATAAATGTGCTCAAAAATGTAGTCACTACCTGCTACTCGCTTCATTCTGAGAACTAGGAGGCATCAATTTTCAAAGTGCAGAGAGTTTCACTCTTTTTCTAAGTTTTATTTTTTCTGGCTCATAAAATAACTTTTCAGTCAGAAGCTTTTAAGTATCAGAACTTAAAAGGCTTCTGTTTCTAGATTTGGCATCTAGAGAGTAAAATAAGTAGAAATTAATGAAAGTTACACTAATGAAAGACTAAATTAACTAGACATAGTTATCTCCAAGAGGACTTTTGAAGTAAGAATTGTCAGATAATTATACTACAAATCATTGCTCTCAGAACACAAAGAGGCTACAATGTATGCTTCTAAAGTGATTATCAAGGACAAGAGGTTGGAAATATTTACCTATTTTGAAATTAATATTTTTTTTCTGGTTAATTACTTTCATAAGACAAAAATATTGAGACAAACGATTTGTATCAGTGAAGCTTGGTCACCACCAAGACTTCATATTTATATAATATATAAAATGCTTTCCTACTAGATCCTACAAAATATTGTTGGAGTAGATATGTGAAACTATATATATATATATATGTCATTTTTCTTTCAAAATAACTAACATAACACAATCAAAATGCAAAAATATCTGTACTGGCCTCAGTAAGAGGTATACGCTTTTCAGTTTCATGCGTAACTTTATGATGATATAATCAGATCATCACATTACTTTTTGATTTCATTTTGTAATCAGCATCCCCACTTACTCCTCTCTCATGATGTTTAGGAGTTCCAAATTTGTGTTGAACATAAAAAGCTCAATTTCTTATAAATAAATTCAGTCAAATGGCAACTTAAATATACTTTCAATGAGCACATTTATTCCCTCTTTTGTACCAAAAGATATTTTAAACTACTAAAATCCTATATTTAATTTTGCATATCTACTCCAAACTTGATGTTTTGCAGAATCTACTGGGAAAGCAGTTTTTCATTTCTCTCTTTTAAAATTAACTGGTGTGCGTTCAACAAAGTGTAAAGTAATATGAAAGTTTCAAATATGTGTTGGTAGGACTTGAAATTCATAAACAAAGTTAGAGTGAATCTTTAATTTTCCAAAAATACATCTATTGCCTGTGGCTGATTTCTTGACAAGTTAAAAACAAGTTAGGGGAAAAAAGCTTGCAACTGAAATTTGAGTATTCCACAATACCATAAGCTTTGAGGAGCACTTAAAGATTTTGCTTCAAATGTCCAATACTGCTATTCTAAACAATATTGAAGAAATGTTGGCTAATTACTGTCAATACTTTCCACTATATACAGAGCTTAAAATCTGTCTCTAATTCTCTTCTGGGCATCATACTTCACAAATGGCGCCAATTTCCTTTTTTGAGAATCTTCTATCTTTCAAAGTCTAGATTATTATTCTCATTTTCTCCTTTATCTGAAATTCTTCTATTCAAAAACTTATAAAAATTTACAGTGTTTTTTTTTTAGAATTGAAATTCACAACCGTTCTAAATAACTTAAAAATAATGGGCAGGAAAAGGTCAGATGTAACCTGATGAAGAAGCTACAAGTTCTAACTAAAATAGAAACCTGCCTTGAGAATTAGGAGTTTTGATCTCCGTCCTCATTATTTATACTTTCCCTGGACCTGTTACTTTATATCTCTGTCCTTCAAGATACTCATCTGTGAAATGGTACAAAAAGGGAGAAGTATTATTTCACTAGAACATTGTAAAAATAGCACAAGATACGTGAAACACAAGGATTTTTGTCTGCTATCTTATGCTTACTGATGAGCAGGAATTGCTCACTGATAAACAGTTATACTTACTGATAAGCAGGAAAACAGAAAGACTGGAGAAGTTTATAGCATCTGTTGTGAGTCAAAATGAGAGTGGGAAAAGCTAAAGTGACATTCACAAATTAGACAAACTTCCTTTGGAGTTCCAAACTTCCTTTGGAGAGGAGACGAATTAGGTCATGCTCTGGAGACTTAAGGAAGTGAGCAACTACTGAGGAAAATACAAACAAAATATATGCCTTACTTGAAGTACAGAAAACAAAGGTAAGCTATGATTTGCTTTACACAATAAATATCTACATTGAGAAAAATAAAGGGGAAAGCATAATGTAAGAATTGTCTTTATGTACAGACCCGGTTTGAATTCTCCATTACAATTGACCAAATACGCAAGAAACATCATCTTAATAACTCAAAATTCTAACGTTATATTCACTGCTCAACTAGTGGCAGCTTACTTAAATTGGAAGGAGAATATTCAGGAAGTAATAAACCATATCTGGAGAGATAGTCCTAAAAGTGAAAACCTACAAAATGATAGTAGATATCACACACATAGTGTGCTATTTGGTCATAGATTATTTCCTCAAATAGTGGCAAATCTACCCTAAATATGGTAAATATATATTATACATTCTGTTAATTTTCATTGTATGTGTTTGTCCCTGAGCAGCAAAACTATGTCTAACACAAACCAGTTAGGGCCAATGTTAGGACAATAATCTTTTACAATTATTCAATAGATATTCATAGATGCTTTAGTATTACAACACTCAAAGAAATGCCTTATTTTTCTGAGTAATACAACAATTATTGAACTCCCCATAAAAAAGTATTTTGTGTTGAATTAACGTTTGAAATAAACAAAAATATCCCATTTCTAAAACTTCCTACAATATTTTGGCATGCATTTTTTAACTCTACAAAACTAGGAATAAGGTTTTATCAATTTTAATTGATAGTTACAGTTGAGTATAAACATCCAATCCAGGGACAAGTTTTAAAATGTGCATGTTCTCAAAAAAGACAAATGCCCATTAGAATTGCAGGACAGAGTTACCAAAAGAATTCCAGAGATCTGAGGCATTAGTTTTGCTTCATAATGAGTGATATTTTCAGACTTTAAGGTAGACAAACTATTGTTATAGACTTTCAAGTGGGCAAAGTAAAAGGTTTTAGAATAAAACCACAAAATCATAGTACTTTACAAATCTTCAATGTGGTATCTAGTTTAGCTGAATGTCTACTTCAGAGAAATGTACACATACACGTATATTCATTCCTAGGATGATTTCATAGCCTCATTAAATAGAACATTCCAGTGTGTACATTCCTCTCCAATAAGTAAATAAATAAATCAATATGACAAAGAGGTCAAACAGTGTTATTAAATTATCTGCCAGTTTGGTTGTATCTCTCCAAAGACCAAGTTGAATAACTCGTGCTCTTTATCTTCTGGCAGAAATCCAAAGATGAAGGAAAAGAAAATAATGCTCTTTGAAGAGTCAGGACAGGAGAATTACTAATGCAATGGGTAGGTTGTCTAAAGATAATGTTTATTTCTATCCTTTGCAATAAGACCAATATTTATTAAAATATGTTTGTTGCTATTCCAGTTTATATGAGGGTATCAAGGCTACAGTTTTATGTTCTTGGCATATAAAAGATGATAAAAATAAAAATATATTTATTCTAGAGGAAATAAACATTTTCACTAAGTTAATTTAGACACATGGGGCTACTGTATAGCACGAATGGACATAAGAATTTATGTTAAAATTGAAACTGACAAAATTCAAAAACCAGGCTGTTTTTAATCTTTAACTGTAAAATTGTTAAGGAGATATAGTATCCAAGACAAAGTTGAATGTTGGAATTGTAAACAGGCTATGAACATATGTTGCAAATAAATGAGCTATGAGAATAGAAAAAAAATATGTAGTTCAATAAAGACACTAGAGTGAAAAAAAAAGATATGTGTATATATAAGCATATGCTTGGCAAAGTGAGCTAGCTGATCACATTGGCTTCCTCAGGATTTAGGCGCAAAGCTAGGCTGCATTTTCTAGCCTCACTTGCAGTTAAATGTGACCCAAAGAAATGTTAGTTGAAGCGACATTATTGTTTCCATTCAAGGTGACTGCAGTGGAAATGGCTCCCAAGATATGTGGAGTCACATGGTAAATGTGACAGACATAAAATGGGAGACTGCATCCTGGGAGGACACCCTTTCAAGGAGCAATGCCATTCTTGAGCTCTTACATAAGCAGAAATATTAACACTCATTGTCTTACACTACTGAGACTGGGCATATGTCTGCTACAGTACCTAGTGTTACCTTAACTCAGTGGTTCTCAAGCTTCAGCATACATCAAAATCACCCGGAGAGCTTGTGAAAATATGTTAAAAGGCCTGGCCCCACCCCAGAGTTTCTGATTCAAGAACTCTAGAGCGACCCAAATGTTTGCATTTCTAACAAGTTCCCGGAACTGCTGCTTTCGTACAATACTTCAGGAACTTCTTCTTTAACTCGTATAATATGCTTAAGGTAAATATGTTATTATTTTAAACTTACTATTAGAACTTTGAGGTATAAAAGAATTTCTTCTCCTTCTTTTTATGACCCCTCCCCACAGTTATTTTGGTAAAACTCATTAAAAAATAATTGAACTAGTGTCAAAAATAGGTAAAATACTTCAGAAATCCAGAACCGATCTTAATTTTCTTACTTCTGCTCTTCATCTAATCAACAGTTATTCCTTTTTTAAGCCAAATTATACTTCTTCAAAGCACATTAATGAAGAATTATAATTATAAAGTGCTTTGTAAATTCCTAATTGGATAAAAGTTTTCATGATTTCTGTTATGTTTTCCTTGACAACCTACACCCTGGTCATGTCCTGGTTCCTCTAACTCACCCTAAACTTAGGTGAACCTTTTTTAGCATCCACTTTCCTCCTTCCCTTTGATTGTTTTCTCTTTCAACTCCAAGGCCCTTTAAATCTTGTCTGTGCTCTCCTGGGCTTTTGTAAATGACAGTGAACCCAGCTACTGCCTTTCAGAACCTTCAAACCCCACAGAAACTAAAATTTCCAGTCATCGCTTGAGTTCTTGTTTCTTGCTCTCTCAGAACTTCTTCTACCAGCCCATAAATATTTGAACACAATGAAATCATTTAAGGATTCAAAATATTTGGTTTGTCACTTTCTTTAGGAGGTTTCAAAAGAAGCGATGTTTTCAACTAAACTATAGAAACAGCAAGAAAGGTATGTATTTCTTTTCCTCAAAGATACTCTGCTACAGGTGATGAAACTAAATTCTAAGAATAGACCCAAATCATTTAGTTAAAAAAAAGTACTAATAAGTCTCTCTAGCAACCTATATGTATATATAATATGTATTTAAATATAGAAACTATTACTGTAAACAGAAGTGCCAAATTTCTCTAAAGAAAATTATTGAAAATCAGCCATCTCCTCTGTAAAAGAGGGTCATTAGAGTACTAAATCATAAAGCTTTGTAATAATTGAGAAAAAGTTATAAATTAGTGTCTGACAGATTGCACTCAAGAATGTTGGCTACCACTACTATTATTACTTTGGACTCCTAAATGGGGATTGTAAGGAACAGCGACCACTACTGAAGATTAACAATGACCATGGCTCTCCTTTACTCTGGAAATCATTGGCTCAATCTTTTGGGTTACTGATGATGTGATCTTCTTTAATGTAGGGGACTCAGGCTTTACAAATCTGAAGGTTGATGAATTCAAGTCTGTCAGACATTCAAAAAATAGAAAAATGATTTCAGAAATAGCAAAAAAGGGCATTTGCCTAAAAATGTAAGAGCTAACTGGTAGTTGGAATTATTTAAGCAGAAAAATTTTGAAAAGGAGTCTTCATTCCACAAGTTTGCTTAAAGTTTAACAAAAGATGTATGAATAGCAGCAGAGACTTTTTTTTTTTTTTTTTTTGGAGCTGGCATTAGGAAGGAATAGATAGACGAGAAGAAAGCATGAGCGGCCCAAAAGGGAGTATGGACACCTGGAACCCCTAGGCAGGAAAAGTGAACCAAGAGTGGGCTGGAGAAAATTTTTTTTTGTGATGGTAGTTGTCTTTTTTTTTTTGCATTGGTTTTTCCTACATGGCTATGAACTTGGATCTCTGTAATGGCAAGATTCCATAAGGCTTTGGCTTCTAAAAGCCCAGCAACATTATTATTAAACATTTTCTACAGACACTTTCAGTCTCTAAATTGGTTTTTTGTTGTTTTTGGGTTTTTCTGTTTTTTTGTTTTTTTGTTTTTTGAGACGGAGTTTCACTCTTGTTGCCAGGCTGGAGTGCAATGGTGTGATCTTGGCTCACTGCAACTTCTGCCTCCCAGGTTCAGGCGATTCTCCTGCCTCAGCCTCACAAGTAGCTGGGATTACAAGCTTGTGCCACCATGCCTGGCTAGTTTTTGTATTTTTAGTAGAGACAGAGTTTTGCCATGTTGGGCAGGCTGGTCCCGAACTCCTGAACTCAGGTGATCCAACCACCTTGGCCTCCCAAAGTGCTGGGATTACAGGCGTGAGCCACCGCTCCCGGCCTCTAAACTGGTTTTGAAGAATGCATTAATTTGTGCGTAGGATAACAAAGATAACCTCATAGAACAAAGAAGTGTGAAGAAACTGTGGTGAAAAAACTAGTTGTCTAACATTAGACCTTAGTTACATTAGCATATAGGCAAAAGTAGACAACCATTTTAAATCTAGGTGATTTTTTAATGTAAAATTGCATTATCACTTTTATTTCCTATATTTAATTGGAATAAAACTAAACACTTCAATTAAATATTTTCCTTAATTTAATAATGAAAATATTAAGCAAACTTTTAAGAACACACAATTAGAGAAGATAATACAATTTAGAGGGAAAAAGAATAAAGAATTTATAAATCAATACATAAAAGGAAGCCAAGAATGAGGCCAATCCTTTGGGTATATGCCCAGTAATGGGATGGCTGGGTCAAATGGTATTTCTAGTTCTAGGTCCTTGAGGGGGTCTGGGGGAGAGGGATAGCACTGGGAGAAATACCTAATGTAGATGACGGGTTGATGGGCGCAGCAAACCATCATGGCACATGTATACCTATGTAACAAGCCTGCACATTCTGCACATGTAGCCCAGAACTTAAACTACAATTTAAAAAAAAAAAAAATGAGGCTAGTCAATATGCATACCATAAATAACTGTATATACTACTTTAACAGAGGCACAAATTTGGAAAGATTATAACTGATTTTTATGAGAATTCAAATGTGATACTGTGTAAAAAAACTACTTTAAATTCTGTATAGCACTATAGAAGTGCCTCTTAGTTTTTAATAAAATAGTGCAGAATTATTCAATAAATCCATTATTTCATTTTCTTTCCCAACATATCTATGATCAATACTTGCATACTTGAATACTTTTCTAGCTTCTACTCCTGAAAGCAAGTAAGAAAAAGAATAAACTTAATTTCTAGAAGTGGGTGGCATAACTGCAATAAGAGCTTGGGCTTTCATAAATCTGAATTACTTAGAAAAATAAGCCATACCCTTTTTATTTTTTATTTCCTTGACTATCTTAAAGAGGTTCCAAAAGATTTTCAGCTACTGAACAGCACTAATTTTATACATGCACACTACACACACATATATATGTGTGTATATATTCTAATATAAACCTAATTAAATTTTCCATGAAGTATTCACATGGGGATAAAAATATATATGTATTAAAAATCATATTTTATATTATTCCTAATACAAAACATTTGACAAAAATTCAAAGCAATAATTCAAAAAATATTTGCACTCTAATATATGTCTGGATTCATTGACCCCTTATGCATGTTCACAGGCATGCAAGAGAAACACCTGGACTATGCCAGAACTGAAATAAAACTCTACCACCTGGAAAAAAAAAAAAACATATCTCTAATACCTCCACATTCTAGGGAACCTAACAGAATTCATATGTGTAACAAATGAATATTTTTGTAAGCAAGCATTCAACTTTCCATTGATGACAGTTCTAGAATTCATTTTTAGGGTTAGAAACCATAAGCTACTTGGCAGAGGCTGATCATTGTTGTGCCTCACACACTGACAAAATGCACACTTCCATCATTGCCATGGGTTGGTGTGAATACTGTTATCAATGTGGCTCAGCCCAATGCACTATTATCCTTTTCATATTAAATCATCCCTTCCCACAAATGTATAGTTTGAAACATTTTCCTTTCATCATTTTTACAGTAGTACAACTATTTTTCCACATTGTAATACAAATTAAAATTAAAACCCATTTCCTGGAGAAAAAATGTTTAAAAGGAATATCTTTATTCAATATTATTTGTTATGCTTAAAATTAATTGTGCAAATACTCAGTGATTTGAAATCATTTCATCATAATGTATGTTTTCTACTCTCTTCAAGAATCAGAAGAGTCATAGTATTTGACTAGAGTGTTAAAACATTTAAATTTCATGAAACCCTATTGCTCTCAAGTGATGTGTTCACCCCAGAATGTTTATCCACCTCTGAATTTCCCTTGTTGATGTAACTGAGGGTATTTGCAACTATCTCATTACCAACTTAATAAAGACAAAACTGCTCCTTTCTCTTCTGCTATTTTTTTCTTCTAAAGTTCCTCATCCCAGTAACTCATTCTTCCTTAATAAACCATGTTGATGAGATTTTTAACCCTTCACTAGCTATAAATACAGATCTAGATTCTTATTAAATTTTCTGTTAAATAGTTCCTAATCTCTTTCCAATCTACTGTTTACTTCCATTCTTACAGGTTATGTATGGACTGCTGCAGCTGCCTCCCAACTTGATTATCTAATTCAAAATGATTCCTTTTCCTCTTAATTTTCATGTTCCCTTTACAGAGATATATCTTATTCACTCTCAACATTGTCTTTGCTGTACACTTTGTGAACTCCTTCTCCATGTTGTTGGGTTAATTCATCTCTTTTCTTCCCTTCAATTCTCCAGGATTTCTTTATCCTTTCTTTCTTAAAAAATGAATTCCTCTAAGCTTATTTAACACTGGCTTACTGAGACAACTCTTAATCCTGCCTTCTTCCTTAATTCTTTTTTAAGTGGAAGACAAAAGTTATTTCACTTTGGTCTGATTACATGTATACTTGGATCTGTTTTCTCCTTCAAATAGAATTAAATTTCTGCATTTTAAAATTTTATTTACAAGTACGCATTCACTCAGAGCTTTATTTGACTCGTATTTTTATAGATAACCATGATATTATCAAAAGTACTAAGGTATAAAAGATTAGATATGGCTACATCGTTATAGAACCAGTGAAACCTCGTGTCCAGGGAGGAACGTTGGCATTGATTTAATAATTGCCAAGATGGTAGTAATAAATACTAAACCGAAAATGTTTACAAAGTTTTGTGTTTTTTAATTGATTTTATATTTCAATAGGTTTTTAGGGTGCAGGTGGTATTAGTTACATAAATAAGTCCCTTAGCAGTGATATCTGTGATTTTGGGGCACCCATTACTCAAGCAGTGTACCCTGTACCCAATGTGTAGTCTTTTGTCCATCATTCCCCTCCCACTCTTTCTCCTGAACCCCCAAAGTTCATTGTTTCATTCTTATGCCTTTGAGTCCTCATAGCTTAGCTCGCACTTATGAGTGAGAATACACGATGTTTGGTTTTCCATTCCCTAGTTACATCACATAGTATAATAGTCTCCAATTCCATCCACGTTGCTGAGAATGCCACTATTTCATTCCTTTTTATGGCTGAATAGTATTCCATGATATCTATATACCAATTTTCTTTATTCACTCATTAATCAATGGTCATTTGGGCTGGTCCCATATTTTTACAATTGCAAATTGGGCTGCTATATATGCATGTACAAATATATACATTTTTTGTATAATGAATACTTTTCCTCTGGGTAGAGGGATGCTAGATTAAATGGTAGTTCCACTTTTGGTTTTTTAAAGAATCTCCACACTGCTTTCCATAGTGGTTGTACTAGTTTACATTCCCATCAACAGTGTAAAAGTATTCCCCTTTCACCACATCCAAGGCAAAATTTATTATTTTTTTATTATGGCCATTCTTGCAGGAGTAAGGTGATATCACATTGTGGTTTTGAATTGCATTTCCCTAATAATTAGTGATGTTGAGCAGTTTTCCATATGCTGCTGGCCATTTGTATACTTTCTTTTGAGAATTGTCTTTTCATGTCCTTAACCCACTTTTTGATGGGATTGCTTTTTTCTTGCTGATTTGTTTGAGTACTTGGTAGATTCTGGACATTAGTCCTTTGTCAGATGTATAGATTTTGAAGACTTTTTCCCATTCTGTGGGTTGTATGTTAACTCTGATGATTATTTCTTTTGTTGTGCAAGAGCATTTTAGTTTAATTAAGTCTCACCTACTTATCTTTGTTTTTGTTGTGTTTGCTTTTGGTTTCTTGGTCATGAAGTATTTGCCAAAGCCAATGTCTGGAAGGGTTTTTCCAATGTTATCTTCTAGAATCTTTATGGTTTCAGGTCTTAGATTTAAGTCTTTGATCCAACTTGAGTCTATTTTTGTATTAGGTAAGAGATGTGGATCCAGTTTCATTTTTCTACATGTGGCTTGCCAATTATCCCAGCAGCATTTGTTGAATGGGGAGTCCTTTCCCCACTTTATGTTTTTGTTTGCTTTGTCAAAATCAGTTGGCTATAAATATTTGGCTTTATTTCTAGGTTCTCTATCTGTGCCATTGGTCTATGTGCCTACTCTTATAACAGAACCATGCTGTTTTGGTGACTAAGGCCTTATAGCATAGTTTGAAGTTGAGTAATATGATGCCTCCAGATTTATTCTTTTTTCTTAGTCTTGCTTTGGCTATGTAGGCTTTTTTGGGTCTCCAGGTGAATTTTAGGTTTGTGTTTTCTATTTCTGTGAAGAGTGATGGTGGTAGTTTGATGGGAATTGCATTGAATTTGTAGATTTCTTTTGGCAATGTGGTCATTTTTACAATATTGATTCTACCCATCCACAAGCATGGGATGTGTTTCCATTTGCTTGTGTTTTCTATTAATTCTTTCAGCAGTGTTTTGCAGTTTTCCTTGTAGAGGTCTTTCACATCTTGGGTTAAGTATATTCCTAAGTATTTTATTTTATTTTTTGTAGCTATTGTAAAAGGGGTTGAGTTCTTGATTTGATTCTCAGCTTGATCGCTGCTGATGTACAGCAGAGCTACTGATTTGTGTACGTTAATTTTCTATCCTGAAACTGTTGAATTCATTTGTCAGTTCTAGGAACTTTTTGGATGAGTCTTTAGGGTTTTCTAGGTTTACGGTCATATTATCAGCAAACAGCAACAGTTTGACTTCCTCTTTACCAATTTGGATGCACTTTATTTCTTTCTCTTGTCTGATTGCTCTGGCCAGGATTTCCAGTACTATGTTGAATAGAAGTGGTGAAACTGGGCATGTTGGTCTTGTTCTAGCTCTCAAGAGGAATGCTTCCAACTTTTCCCCATTCAGTACAATATTGGCTGTTGGTTTGTCATAGACGGCTTTTATTACCTTAAGGTATATTCCTTCTATGCCAATTATGCTGAGGGTTTTAATCATAAAGTGATGCTGGATTTTGTGAAATGCTTTTTCTGCATCTATTGACATGATCATGTGATTTTCATTTGTAATTCTGTTTATGTGGTGTATCACATTTATTGATTACATATGTTAAACCATCCCTGCATCACTGGTATGAAACCTGCTTGATAATGGTGGCTTATCTTTTTGATGTGCTGTTGGATTCAGTTTCCTAGTATTTTGTTGAGGAATTTTGCATCTATTTTCATCAGGGATATTGGTCTGTTTTTTTTTTGTTTGTTTGTTTTTTTGTTAGGCCCTTCCCTGGTTTTGGTATTAGGGTGATACTGGCTTCATAGAATGATTTAGGGAGGATGTCTTCTTTCTCTATTTTGTGGAATAATGTCGATAGGATTGGTACCAATTCTTTGAATGTCTGACAGAATTCAGGTGTGAATCCATCTGGTCCTGGACTTTTTTTTTTGTTGGCAAATTTTTTTATTACCATTCCAATCTCACTGCTTGTTTGGTCTTTTCAGAGATTCTATACCTTCCTTGTTTAATCTAGAAGGGTTATTTATTTCTAGGAGTTTATCCATCTCCTCTAGGCTTTTTAGTTTATGTACATAAAGGTGTTCATAGTAGCCTTGAATAATCTTTTGTATTTCTGTGCTATCTGTTGTAATTTCTCCCATTTTGTTTCTAATTAAGTTTATTTAGATCTTCTCTCTTATTTTCTTGGTTAATCTCACCAATGGTCTATCAATTTTATTTCTCTTTTCAAAGAACCAGCTTTTTGATTCATTTTTTTTTTATATTTTTTGTTTTGATTTTATTTGTAGCAGTTCTGCTCTGACCTTGGATATTTCTTTCCTTCTTTTGGGTTTTGGTTTAACTGGTCTTTGTTTCTCTAGCTCCATAGAGTGTGACCTTAGATTGTCTATTTGTGCTCTTTCAGACTTTTTGATGTAGGCATTTAATGCTATGACTTTTTCTCTTAGCACCACCTTTGCTGTATCCCAGATATTTTGATAGGTTGTGTCACTATTATCATTCAGTTCAAAGAATTTTTAAATTTCCATCTTGATTTTATTGTTGACCCAGTGATTATTCAGGAGTAGGTTATTTAATTTCCATGTATTTGGATGGTTTTTAGGGTCCCTTTGGAATTGATTTCCAATTTTATTCCATTGTAGTCTGAGAG
Organism: Homo sapiens; assembly: GCF_000001405.40. Classification (NCBI taxonomy): domain Eukaryota; kingdom Metazoa; phylum Chordata; class Mammalia; order Primates; family Hominidae; genus Homo; species Homo sapiens. Next base: position 88,602,607 of record NC_000003.12, on the reverse strand, counting down.
AGTGCTTGCTTATAATTTAGATTTTCTTAAATTTGTTGAGACTTGTTTTGTGGCCTATCATATGGTCTATCTTGGGGAATGTTCCATGTGCTGATTAATAAAATGTATATTCTGCAGTTGTTGGATAGAATGTTCCGTAAATATTTGTTAAGTCCATTTGTTGTAGGATATAGTTTAAGTTCATTGTTTCTTTGTTGACTTGCTGTCTTGATGATCTGTCTAGTGCTGTCAGTGGAGTATTAAAGTATTAAAGTCCCCCACTATTATTGTGTTGCCATATTCCACTTTATAGTCATATGACTATGATGTTTTAAACATAAGCCTATTCATATGCCAGATAAACTTCAGAAACTCTTAACGTCCCTACTACAAAAATTCTGCCTCTATCCTTATGTAATTAGGTTGATTTAGAAAATTAAAGGCCACAGGCTAGAAAAGTGATTTCCATAACTGCAACAAAATGAAAAGTTTTTCCAACTACCTCTATGCAATGGGAAATCTTTTTTTTAAGCACCAAATCAATTTCTTCAATTGTACAATGTATTCTAATTTGATAGTTTTCAAATATAGTAACAACAAAATATAATAAAATTAAGACTATATAAAAACTGAGTAAATGGTATAATTCTAATAATGACTAAAATAAAATGATATTTATTATTAATTTTATAATCAGTATATAATTATATATTTAAATTTTACTTTACATATGTAAGATCAAAGCCAAGGCGGTTAACCACAATTTCAAATTTTATCACCAGCCACTTGTGCTATTTTATCACATTTGAAAATATTCAAATAGTGATCTATAATTTTTTGGAAAATAATAATTAAGGACCTTTTCTTCTTCAAGGTAATTTTTAAAATGAAATGATGTACTGAACATACTACCAAAAAACTTTACTTTTTGATTATGCCCTCTACATTGAAGATCTTTCAGAATTATTTAAATTAATTTTAAAATCTTCCCATGACCCCTCTGTTCAAAGAAATATCATCTTTGAAATAATTTGTGTGAATATTTACAAATCAAAAATGGATTCACAAGACCATATTGCCATAATCACTAATTTTAACAGTCTCCTAAACATTTTCTATATCACTTTTCTTGATTGTAAAATGTCAATAATATGGACATACTCTTAATATAACAGAATATTTAAATTACATCAATTTCCCATCAACCCACCAAAGCCATTCAATAATTATATTGGCCATTTCCACTGATGGGCAGGAGGCTCTTCCACTAATGGCTTCCATGTTTTCCACTGCATCATTTGTCTTGCCAGACTTAGTTCATTTTTACCCAGGAGAATCATCTCTCCTATTTGGCCACCTTCAAGTTGGTCTTCCAATTTTTGAACATCTGATTCCACTTTGATCATAGCCAGCTTCTCATTAGTAATCTGTTATGTATACTTTCTATATGCTGCATTTTTAGGGATTTGCTCAAGAACATCAAGAATATTTGTGTACAATATTCTTGGCTTCTCATGTGGACTCTTGCATACCGCAAGGCCAGCGGTCTTCTTCAGCACACTCGCCATGACAGCCAAAAATGTATATGAAGTTTGATAATCAATCCGGCACCTCTCAAATTACACCATGATAAACTACTTTCTAAAAACCTGAATAATTATAATACTAAGTAATCTTAATAAACAATTAAATGTTAAAATTTAAGAAAATATTCAACTAAACATTATAATCAAAACATGAATATAGAGAAAAATAGGATATCTAAAGAAATATGCAATAAAATACAGGATAGAACAAAACCAAATTTTTTTAAGTATTAGTAAAATTTGATTTATTTTGGTTCTTAATGTTAATAGCTGTCCAATATTCATGACATGGATCTTATACAACATCGATAGTTTGGAATTATCTTAACAAAGATTTGGTTCAATTATGAGTAGTATAATAGAAAACTCAAAATAACAGTACCTTAAGCAAGATAGAAATGTATATTTCTTATGTAATCCAAACCAGTCTAAATCTAATATGAAAGTTTTATAATCATCAGGGTTTTTCAGATTTCTTTGCTAACATTGTCTTGTGATCCTCCCCATACATCATGTCAAAAGAGCCTACTTGAACTCAACCAACACATATACATTTCAACATATGCATTTTAGCCTAAAAAAAGGAAACAAGCATGAAGAAGAATGTGCATTTCTTTAAAGAATACTTATCGGAAATCACAACAATCTATCGGCTACCACTGAGTCACCTGTACTCACCTAGCCACAAGGGACTCTAAAAATTTTGGTGTTTATTTGTTATGTCCAGCAAAAATCAGGATCCTATTACTAAGAAAGAAACTGAAAGTAGTTATTGGGCAACAACTAGCAGTCTCTGCAATAAGGTCATAATCATAAGTTTGATATTTCAACAGAAAATCAATCTTCTAACTTTCTTCAACAAAGGATGGAAATGTCACAATTTAAGCCAAGGTCAGAGAATGACTTCTAGAATTTGAGTGAGATCTACAAGATAGGAACTGGGTTTATCTTCAGAACATAAGAACTGGACTTATGTTCTGGACTTTCGTCACGCTCTTAGCCTGAAGCCAGTAGGGCAACTGGTCAGAGCCTGACAACAGGGCCAATGGAGAACCAACATATTGATCTAGTAATGTCGCCTGAAATTTGAATCAAATTGTGCCTGGAGCCATTTCTATTTATATGTGTCAGTAAATGTGTTTCCTTGGTATCCAAGAAGAGGTTAAGAGAAATAAATACATAAATGCATAATAGAAAGAAAGAAAGAAGAAAGAGAAAAAAAGAAAGAAAGAAAGAGAGAGAGAGAAAGAAAGAAAAAAGAGAAAGAAAGAAAGAAAGAGAAGGAAAGAAAGAAAGAAAGAAAGAAAGAAAGAAAGAAAGAAAGAAAGAAAGAAAGAAAGAAAGAAAAGAAAGAAAGAAAGAGAGGGGAGGGAGGGAGGGAGGAAGGAAGGAAGGAAGGAAAGAAGGAAGGAAAGAGTTTGTTTCCATAATGATAAGTCCATTTTTGTCAATATTTTCAAACTACTGCTAGGCACAATACACACAAGATAGTGCCCTATATTCACAAAGGCAATGCATGTCTGCTTGTTTATTTTAAGTACTTTCAAAGTTTTGTATATTAAGGTGATACATATTTGCACAATAGCATCAGATCACAGAACATTCACATAAAGAAACATATAATTAATAAAGTTTTAACATTTCATTTATATATTCTAGACGAATGCTGTCTGGTATAAATACAATGCACACCACAAATGTGAGCCACATGTATAATGTAAATTTTTTTCATTAGTCATATTTAAAAGGTAAAAAGAGACATAAAATTAAATAATATATTTTATTTACTCAACCTGTCCAAATATTAACATTTCAATCTGTAATCAATACAAAAGTATTAAAAATATATTACATTCTTTTTTTTCATGTCTGCAAAATCCAGTATGTTCTATATGCTTGCAGTTCATCTCAATTCAGACTAGACACATTGCAAGTGCCCTATCCACATGTAGCTAGTGGCTACCATATGGAATGGCACTGCTCCAGGCCAAGTTAATTCATAGGGATAATCCATTACATAAAGAGTAGAAGTAATTCATCTATAAAGCAATTGGATCTTATAAATTGGTGTGTGAAAGAATGGGTACATGTGAAGAAGTGTGATTATCTTTATACCTCTTTAGGTTTTTGTAAATATATTTTTATAATTTATTTTTTCCTCCATATAGAGCTGAAAATTTATTGGCCAAAAGATCATATAACCTAAAAGATCACTGGAGCTGTTTTGGTTAAAAGTAACTAAAAACCTCATTTTAACTAAGAGGGGAAAAGAAAAGAATGAATTGGATTGTGTAATTATAAAGTCCGTGGGTAGTGTCAGATGCATAAAAGTTAAGATCTAGGAGCTCAACTCTATTATGATCTATGTTGGCTTCACTTTCAATAAGGTAGGCTCTCTTTTTGTGGTAGCTCCACAGAATTCTAGATTTTTGTCCACTTGGTTCAAGTTCAACAGAAAAGAACATGATTTTCCAACTATATCCATAAAACATCCCAGCCTGATCCCTATTGGCCTAAACGGACTCACATGCCTAATTCCTGAAGCAATTATTGGGGCTGACATGGAAATTTGAGTAAATTGAAATGATTTATTATCTTAGGCCCTATGTCAAAACCTGGAACTGATGACAGAAACTGTACCACCCTGAACCAAGTGTGGACAATGGGCATTTCTTCAAAGAAAAATTGAAGAAACAGATATAAGAATGAAAAAAACAAGCAGCTGGTATCTGTAGGCTGTTAGCCCTACAGTTCTGGAATCTCAGGGGCAGCCCTATCCCCACAGCTCTACTCTGCATTGCTTTAGTGAGGCTCTTTGTGGTGACTCTGTCCCTGTAGCAAGGGACTGAGCTGTCTAAGATGGACAGCCTCGGGGCCCAGGCAGAGACTTGCTACAGGGAAAACTAGGTGGAGGTAGCCATGCCCTACAGGGAAAACTAGGTGGAGGTAGCATTTGCATTCTGCAAGCCTACATAGTTAGTGCCACATGGACTTTGCCAAAGCTGATAGCTTATGCCCTCTGGAGTGGAGGTTCAAGCTGCACCTGGGTCCATTTGAGCTATTACCAGGGTAGTTAAGAAGCACTACACCAGAAGGCAGAGAGCAAATGCCTCTGGTGAGAGACCAGACCCTGGAGAGAGAAGACCCTGGGCAGTGAGCATAGATGTTCCTCGTGTGCCCTGGGCCTCTCCCTGGAAATAATTCTGTTCTCTGGAGTCTAGCACTCTGGTCCTGTAATGGGTGGGACAGCCCCAAAAGATCTCTGAAATGCCTTTGGGGTCATTGTCCCATTGTCCTGATAAATAACACGTGGATTCCTTCTATTCATAATAATCTCATTAGCAAATGGTCTCTTGGCCACACCCTTGGCTTTCTCCTCAAAATGCCTTTTTGTTTTCTTTACATGGGTAGGCTGAGAGTTTGACAACATTACATTCTGTTTTCCTCTTAATTTAAAATCTATCTTTAAACTGTTTCTCTCTTCTCGTGTTTTAGAATACACCATTAAGAGAAGACAAGTATGATCCTGATACTTTGCTGCTCCGAAAATTTTTCTACCAAATATCTTAGTCCATGACATTTAAATGCTGCCTTCCACAAAGTCCTGAGATATGGATATAATTGATATAAGTTCCTTGTCACTTTCTAACAAGGATGGCCTTTCCCCTAGTTTCCAATAAGATATTCCTTATTTCCATCTAAGACCTCATGTCCTATTTCTACTAACATTCTGTTCACAATCACTTAAGTAATCTCTAGGAAGATTCAGCTTTTCCTACAGCTCTCTCCTTCTGAGCCCTCACCATATTCACCCTTAATGTTCATGGCAATACATGCTTTTTCCACCGTTCACTTCAATTTCTACCTATTACAAAGTCTTTACTTATTACCCAGCTCCCAAGCAACTTCCACATATTTAAGTATTTGTCTGGCAATATTCCACTTCTTTGATGCCAGTTCCTATATTAGTCTGTTTGTGCTGCTATAACAGAATATCTAAGACTGGGTAATTTATAAAGAAGCGAAATTTATTTTCTTAGGATTCTGGAGGCTGGGAACTCCAACATAAGGCACCTGCATCTGGTGTCTGGTAAGGGCCTTCTTGCTGTGTCCTCACATGGCAGAAGGGAGAAATATAAGTTAAAAAGCTAGACAAACACCTCATGATGCCTCTCTTAGAAGGGCCTTTGTCCCATTAAGGAGGGGGGAACCCTAATGACCTAATCATCTCTCAAAGGCCCCACTTCTTACTACCATCACATTGGTAATAGTTAAATTTTGGAGAGGACACATTCAAACCATAACACTTGTGGTGTTTTTTTCCAGTTACACCCATAGTTGCCTATAATTTCAGTTGGCAGCAGGAAAGAATTTGAGGACTTTTACTGCTGTGCTGAGTCAGATAATTATTTTTCCCATGTCTGATGTGTCATCCCAAAGTTTGATTTAGCCATTCTGTTCTGAACATTAACATTAGGAGACTGCAATGGCAAATGCTGGAATTAGTTACAAATAGCTATTTTCATGTTCGATTACATTATTTTTATCACATGTTATTTCTTTGTTCTCTTGATTTTACTTTTTACAATAACCATATATAATGGTATAGCCAGAGAACAGTAAATGTTATTTTTTTAAAAAAATTAAGTACATTCTAAAAACATTTTCAGTTATCCAATAATACAGTCTTAGTTTGTAAATATCCTCTTCTAAGTCTATCATGAGCCTTGTAAGATTTTGTTTTTAAAAAGACTGAAACAAAACAGAACTGCTCTGATTTTTCCTAACCCATGTGTCTGGCCAGGTGTTTGGAAAGGAAGCTTTCATGGGTATTCTTTTCTATAGTCTCTTGCCCAAGGATTGAAATCAATGAATTCAGTTGCCTAAGGTCACAACTAGCCTGCAATTACTTGAATTCTTATTACTCCTTATTTTTATCCTAAAGCTGCACTTTTTATGTTTTGTTTGTATGGCTGATTCAACAAAAAAAAATCACACCTAACATTACTGAAACTAATTATCTAATTAGAAGTCTATGTAGCCTTTACTCCTTCAGTAAGCCAAACAGTCCGTTTTCCAACTGACTTTTTTTTTCTAATGCCTTTTAGCTGGAAGAAAAAGAGCTGTACATGCCATCAGTTAATGGGCTTTATTAAAATAATTCTTACTTACACAAGCATAACATTTTAGGGATTTTTTTTATGTGTCTTTCCTCTTGTATTTAGGTATCTTATGTGGCCTCTTTTCCTCTCACAGTTTATCAATGAAAATCTCTTTAAGATACACATTTGATTTTATTTTAAACAATAATCTTTCCTCTTCTGTTGCAAACTAGATTGAGTTTGTAGATCTTTTGAAAGAGTCTATAAAATGGGTGTTCATCCCTCCACTCCTTGAAAAGAACCACAGTTCTACCTAGTTTGAGAAATACCCCATTAGAAACTACCTATATTGACACATGTATCTTTAATTATATAATATGCAAACACAAATCTTAGTTTCACACAGAAGTTATTTCATTTTCTGTGGTAAGAGAAGTAATTCTGGTATCCTTACTATTTTATCCAACAGTAAACTAGCTTAATTGGACTGAGAGAATACTGTTTCATTGGAGATAAATGTTCATTTCTTAAAATCTTTTTATTTAATAGAAATATTTGTACAGTAATAAATAATTTACACCTGATTCACACAGGTTTTCATAGTGCTAAATTTTTATAATTGTACATTTAAAAACACTTGGCATTTTTGTGCTGATTCACTTAATCAGCCATTTAAAGCACTTGGCATTGTGCCAGGTGCTCCCTTAAGTGCTAAAACTTTGCAGTAAAGAAAGCTTTTTTGTTCCCTGCCCACATGGGGCTTAGGGACATGTGACTGAGAAGGATGTTGATTGTATGATTAGGGCAAATAACTACGTAATTAAATTTCCTGTAAAGAAAACTCCAAGAACTATTTAAAAAGTAATAGGAGGACTAACTTGGAGGTTACACTTAAGCTGAGATCATAAGAATGAGTAGGGATTGTCTAAGATAATGAGAAGCAAGAATATTCTTGATTAAAGGAATGGCACGTGCAAAGGGCATGGGGCAAGAAGAAGCATGACTTGATTGAGAAATTGAAAGAAGGGCCAAGTCACTGAAACTCATTAAGTACTAGGAAAAATGGTGTGAAATAAAATAAGATCATACTTCCTAAAGCTAAATGTCTTGTTCCCAAGATTGCCTTCCACAGTTGTATTTTCTTACTGACTCCTGATATCTCAACCTCTAAAGAATCATTAACCAATGTACCTATACATATATAAAGCTCATCTTGCCATCACACCTTTTATCATGTACCTAAGTATTCTCAGTTCTTCCCTTTCCCTCTCATCTGACCCTGAGTGCTGTCCATCTTCTAGGGAACAAAATCCTCTGCAAAATCCAGGCCAGACCCACAGCAGGATGAAGAAGTTTTCTGATATCTTATCCCTCTCCTTAGGCCTGCTATTGCTTTATTGCTCTGTCAGGTTTTAAAACTACATAAATTTTTAACTCTATGCAGCTCACTCTCTTCTTATCTTCAGAAAATGATGCCGTTTGTAACAGAAAAGATAACACACACCAGAAATAGTTGTTTTTGGTCTCCAGAAATCAATACAGAAAGCCTCCACATGAAAAGAGTGAGGATGTCACTGAAAAATATAAGCAACTATGTATTGTAAGCATATGCTTCAAAAATCATTTACCTAAATTCTTGGCTTCCACCAGACTAGTTCTTTGGCAATATTTTGGACTGTCTAATCATTCATAGCTTGGAGTAGACATTTTATTCATTGCTCATGATTAAATCTCCCTTGGAATCTGTTCTCATACCCTATTAATTTTTTTTTTTTTTTTTTGAGACAGAGTCTTGCTCTTTTACCCAGGCTGGAGTGCAGTGGTGCAATCTCGGCTCACTGCAACTTCCGCCTCCCGGGTTCAAGCAATTCTCCTGCCTCAGCCTCCCGAGTAGCTGGGATTACAGGCACATGCCACCATGCCCGGCTAAATTTTGTATTTTTTTAGTGGAGACGGGGTCTCACCAAGTTGGCCAGGCTGGTCTCAAACTCCTGACCTTGTGATCCGCCTGCCTCAGCCTCCCAAAGTGCTGGGATTACAGGTGTGAGCCACCGTGCCCGGCCCTCATACTCTATTATTTCTTTCAAATGGGCTGTACCATCTGATTTTACTGCTACCCTTTGAAATCTTTCTATTCTCTGATGGACAAACTACCTAGTTCTTTACCCTCCTCCCAGAACATTCTCATTGTCCACTGGCCTTAAGTAAAACCTGGCTCTTCACTGGGGATATAACTTCACCTTGTCAAATACAAACTGCTCACTCTCCACATGCCTTACCCTGCAGTGAGAGTGATGTCGCATCCTCCTCTCTTCACACTAAGATGGACAGATCCAAATTTCTCCACCCTGTTAACTAGAAGCCCTTTGCCTCCTTTGCGCTGACATGACCTCTCATCAGGCCCCTTCATCTGTCAGATGCTTTGCACTTGCTCCCAGATTTCCTCACCCTAAATCCTGCAATGATCATGGATTACTCACTGTCCAGAAGGTTGTTGAATTTGACATTCCAGTCTCTCACTTTTCTACTTGCTCAACTATGGCTTTCACCACTTCCCAGTATCTGCTAATCCCTTTTATGAGCCACTTCTTTGTTCATCCAATTCAAATCCCATTGTCCATAATTTTAAACCATTCTTTTATCTATTTCCACAACTTTTTTCACTCCTCTTTCTGACAAAACCTATCTGGGAAATCTTAACCCTTGATAAATTCAACCTCACCCAGCTTACTGGGTAGAGATGAAAAGAAAAATTTAACTGTGCAGATTAGGGCTACTATAGCTTCATGATCTTCAAATTCATTCATGTCTGGCCATGCTGTGATCTTTGTCTGATCTGCTTACTACCTCACTTTCCAGGGTGATTATTCTAAGTTGCTTTTTTTACTCAAACCTCTGAGTATAACTACTTCTCTATTTTGTCCTATAACTTTGCTTTCTGCTTCAAAACAAAGTAAAATCTATTAGCAAAGAACTGACAAACTTGCAACTATAACTGTGTCTGCACCTATTATTTCTTCCTTAGTTTCTCTTGTAATAAAACCTCTACGGCTCTTTCTCTCACCTGTGCTCTGTATCCATTCCCTTCCTACATGCCCCATGAGCTTGTCCAATCAACTACCCTTATGCCTGCATCTTCAACCCTCACAGCTGAAATATGAAAAACTTCCTTCTGTCTCATGTTCCCCACCAGCTTCTCACTGTCTCTCCCCTTCCCTTTACAACAAAAAGTATTGAATACTCTGTCTTCATTGTCTTTACTACCTTTACTGTCTTCATTATCTTTATTGTCTTCAATTCTTAATATATTATTTATTCCTAAAACAGAGTAACCTTATTTTCTCCTACAACACCCAAAATTTCTTAAAATTGTTGTCTCCAAATTCACCTGATGCCCTTGCCCCAGTCAAGTGGAGAATTCTTAGGTCTTAATTTATTCAACTATTCTTTCTTATCACAGTCATTTCCATTGACTTCCATAACATGAAACTTCCCTGGGTGCCTTCAATTTGCTGTTATTGTTGTCTTATTATACAATTGATTAATCTCGGTAAAATTTACCATATTCACTAGGCCTTGTAAATAAAATATCTATATATCAATATTCAATATAATATTTAATAAATAGCAATACATCCATATTATTTATTTTTGATATCTATTTTATTATTAACTTCATTTCTTTTTTCTTTAAGTTTAATTTATTTTACTTATGTCTAGCTTCTTGTATTTAACACACTTGTCATATATATTTTCAGCTGTTCATTTTGTACTTCAACGCTATAGGTTACCCTCCGTTTGCCACCTTTTAATGCATCCTCAGGCTTTGATGACAGATATGTTCATTGTAATTGACATTTTGTAGTAAGTATTCATTATTTTCTTTTTTAAAACGTTTATTTTAAGTGTAATGGTACTAGTGCAGGTTTGTTACACAGGTAGACTTGTGTCATGGACATTTTTTATACAGATTATTTCATTGCCCAGATATTAAACCTAGTACTTATGAGTTATTTTTGCTGATCCTCTCCTTCCTCCTACCCTCCACCCTCCACCCTCCAATAAGCCCCAGTGCGTGTTGTTCCCCTCTATGTGTCCATGTGTTCTCATCATTTAGCTCCAACTTCTAAGTAAGAACAAGCAGTATTTGGTTTTCTGTTCCTGTGTTAGTTTGCTGAGGATAATGGCTTCAAAAAATAACAGATGCTGGTGAGGTTGTGGAGAAAAGAACGTTTATACGCTGTTGGTGGGAGTGTAAATTAGTTCAGGCTTTGTGGAAGACAGTGTGACGATTCCTCAAAGACCTAAAGACAGAAATATCATTCAACCCAGCAATCCCATTTCTGGGTATATACCCAAAGGACTATAAATCATTCTGTTATAAAGACACATGTATGTGTATGTTCATTGCAGCACTCTTCACAATATCAAATATTCATTAGTTTCAATCTTATTTTCTTTCTTGCTTAAGGGTTAACTATAAGTATGCTTTTTAAGTGTCCCCAATATATGAGGAAAGTAATTATTTTTATTTTTGTGGCTGAAATTAATTTAATTTCAAACGTGTTTTCCTGTTTTCTTCCTATTTCTCTGTTCGCTTCTCTTCAAATGCATCTGAAAACTACTTCTTCATCTTCTCATTTTCATTTATACTCTCTTTGAAATATTGGACTTTGGCATGTGTGTGTTTATCTGTAGACTTCCCCTGAACAATATATTCATTTTCATATCTCCATTAATTATTTCTGAATAAATAAAATCTTTACAATATTAAACTCTGAAATGGTTGAAAAAATCCCTAGACACAGAGAGATTGACAACACTTTAGTCACTGAACTGTTATTTATTCAAGAATTCAAATATTCAAACATTATATTAATTTTAGTCCTTATTTTGATGGCACAATTTTAAAAGTCAGCATAATTATTTCTTAAATATTCAAATTATGGCACCTTACATTTTAAAAAATGGCAAAATTAATACCCTCAATGAGCTATGGCTGAAAACAAAATTTTGGCTATACCTTTTTGAAATCATATTATACAATTACTCCTAGTCACATAGAGACTTTGATATTTTCATTAACAGGTAAATGAAAAGTTTCAAGGCTCAGTGGTGTTATTTCTAACTATTTACCCACATTTTTTGCCTGAACTACAAAATGCAAAATTGTGGTAACTTAGAACTATGCCATACAGCTCAGGAATGAAAAGAACACATTTGGCATATAAAAAGAATTAGATCATTTGTCTCAAAGTGTTTTCAAGGGAAATCTCACATCATCTGGGGTGATTTTAAAAAACACAGATTCTAGATGCCAACTAGACTAATATAATAGAGACAGCTGGGGATGGGAGATGGATGGTGGAGGATGGGGATGGGGATTGGAATGGGGATGGTGTCCCAAGACTCTGCATTTTATAAACTCAATGGTTATTCTCATGCATCTTTACTTTAAGAACCAATAAATTAAATAAATGATTATCTGGTGAGACAAATGTGCTCATTTATGTTTCCAGAACACATACACTGTTCAAGTCTTTGATTGCTTTATAGGAGCTCTTTTTATGTTGTAAGGAAAAAATTTAACAGAAAAAGCAAATGTCTACAACTTAATGAATGGTCACTGGTTTCTATATAAGACGGAATATTATGAAAAAAAAATTCTGGTTTCAAAAGCATACTAATTCTAAATGCTTAGAGTTTGTTTAAGTATTAGGGAGCAGTGCTCTCCAAACTCAGTAAGTAGAAAATTCATCTATGAAATGTATGAATATGCAGATTCAAAAGGACTGGGACAGGAAGGAGATTTTGAATTTCTAAAATGTTTCCAGGTGAGGACACACTGTGAGTAACAAGATTATAGGAAAGAGCTGGCTCATGATGACAGTCATAACAGTTGGTCAAGTTTCTGTATCATTGCCCTTTCTTTTAAAATATTCTTCAATTATTTCCATTCAGCAAGATTAAAAAAATAGAATCTTTCATTCAAACAAAAAATATCAATGAGGTGTTTCTGAAATTCTTCTTGATTTTGAAAACCTCATTGACATCATCTTACTTTTACAAAAAGATGCCCTTCTCTACTTATGATGTAATGCAATATAATTGATTACTCAGCAATGAATATCACTATAATATTACTGAGAACAAAAACTTCAGGAACAAAGCGCAATACACAGAATTGTTTTAAATAATTTTGCCTGTAAGGGGTAATATTTTTTAATAGTGTAATCAGAGAAAATGCACAGCAAAAGTGAATACATTTCTGAGGAGTCAAATGAAAAAAAGCACTTTTTAAAAATGAATCATAAAAAATAATCTTACTGCCTAAGAAGTATTACCCTCACAATATAAAAGTTTAAGATACAAACATAAAAACTGAATAATTTGGGAGTTTGAATTTTATTCCAAATGGACAAAAGTGGCTAACATATGGGAGTGTTCAGATTTGAGAGTAGTTCAGGCTATTTGTGAGAGCTGAAGTCTTAGAGATTCCAACTACAGTAGCTGGGGCTGTGTTTGGAGTAACCAGAGGGATTGGCTATTATTCAAACTAATGACACTTTTAAAGGGTAAAGGCCCTGAAAACCCAGTAATGCTGACTCATAAGCATACATTTGTTCTGGGCTTCTAAGGGAATTAGACATGCAATTCCCATTAACATTAACAGGAGACAGAAGTTCTATATCTAATTTCCCTCTCAGCGGGCTGGAAACAAACCCCATAATTTGAAGGATTTGCAGTTTTACGCAAGCTACATTGTGATCAAAAATTGCATATGATGAAATGGAAATGATGGAAAAAAAATGCCTTATCCCTAATTTTAAATGACCTTGTGTTTCACAAAGCATCTCAGGCACAAATTAAAATAAAGAACAGTTGTACTGGAAAGTAGCCTTTATTCTTAAAGATGAGAGTTACAGCCCTAGTGCCTTTATCTATTAAAAATGGTGAATTCAGCTTGTTGAAATGCCACTTTGAAAATCCGTTTTGTGTGAACTGTACAATTTTGTCAGTAAAACCCAGTTCAATCTGGGTTTACTGCCTAGAGTGGAATATAATGATTAAAAGAATTGCAACGCTTCTCTTAGAGGGAAAGGCCATATGTATATAAAAATACTGAAGATTCATTGCTAGCCTTAGTATTTTAATTGACATCTGTGGTCCTACTTTTGCTGTTACATCACAATAGAGGGGAGTTTTTCTTCCTTGTTGACATGGATAACAATTATAAAAAATGCACAGGAGTCGTTGAAAAATAGTGTTAAGGCAAAAGTTAATATTACTCTTACATAATTATGTGAGCCGAAAAGAAAGCTTGTCACTGGAAAAAAATTGAGATACTTGTCCCCTTAACTCCATTGTTTAATAATAAATAAATTAATTAAAACTATTCATTAGTTTGAAGAATAGTGTGTCGGAAAATTGGAGTTCGATGCCGACTACCTAAGATTACAGAATCAAATGGCACAAATTACAACTGTAACTTAAATGTTTTTCTATGCACAAAAGAATTCCCAACATAATATATTGGAGGAAGGGGTGGAAAGGGATAAGATTAAGAGATACTGACAATAAAACAGACAAAATCCAAAAAAGGGGTATTTCAAGAAGGGAGTGGTATAACATGTCGACTACTGAGATTTTGCCAAATTCTGGAGTTATTTTTTTTTTCTCACTTCTCATCCTTACTAATTTCTTATCTTCCTCTTCACTCACTCATCACTCTTACAAGTAGATATTATTTTTGTTTCTGCGTTTATTTCCCCCCTGTATTTTCTTATTGTTGTTGTTTTCCCTGAAGAAGTGATGAGCCTTCCAGATTGAAACCTAATTGATATGGCTCTTTGGGGCAGTCAAGAGTGTTTCATGTGCTCATTTTCTTTCTCCCACAATCTGATCTGGCAATTACTCAGACAGGAAGTTTTGGAATTATAATTACAAGAACGTCCCAACTAGTTCTCTCTGCCTTCATTTTCTTTCTGTCCCAATATTTTACCTACTAGACTTATTTTTTAAAACAGTACTTTGATCAAGACATTTGCTTTTTCAGAATGCTTCTACTCCTGGCCATTGACTAATGGCATACCATAAACTAATTAACCTGGCCTTTGTGTCATATCACAATGGGATCATCTGTAGCCTTTCTAAGTGAATTTTCCATGATCATGCACACACATCTCCTACTTCAGACAAAGTGGACTATTCCTGCAAAAGTGCTCATGGTTTCTCTCATTCTGAGCTTTTGCCGTTGTCCAAAGCCTTCCCGTTTTCTTGAGTCTGATGTGACTCCTCCTGAATCTTGTTGCATTCAATTTTTACTTTCATTTCAAGGCATATTTTTCATTATATTACGTGTATTAAGTTAACTGCTTTATTCCTCCTGTTAGAGTCTATGTTTACAGAAGGCAGAGATGGCTGCCTGGTATTGATATTCTCTGCTTTTTCTAATACAAAGCCTGGTAAATCGTATCCACTTAAAGGTACTTTTGATTTTATAAATAAGGCTAAATAATTAAAAGTTATTTATTAGATAGGTTTATGTAAAACTGTATATTTTATGTAAAAATATAATGATTTATATAAAAATATAAATGATGCATTTGGAAAATCATCACTGAACTCTTGGTTCCAAGAAGAGCACCTGGTGTATAGCAGGCATACAATTAAAATTTATTAAATCACTAAATGAATATATGATTAATACCCACTTCATTCCCAATAGACCCTATTTTATATCACTCACAATTTGTGCCTCTTATTTCCAAATACATAATTCTGGCCAGTCTGATTAAAAAATCTAAGCATATATGTGAGCCTTCCTGACACATAAAATCTAAACAGCATGAAAAAAACAAAGGATGAGAAAATATAAAAGGAAAGGTATTTCTGTTTGTTACTATGTGGACCATTTGTTAGTAATACTAAAAATTTTGATGATGTTGATAATTATATTATCACCATTTCTAAATTTAATTTTAACTAAAACAGGTTTATCAAAGTGTTCAATAAAAATTTTAATAGTGAGGAACATGTGAAGAAAGCATTTTTTTAAATCATATCAAATGCTGTAAGACCACCAAATTATAAAGTATGTTATTTTCTATGAAAAAAATTTCCATTGTATGAAATGTTTTTATGTAACACATCTGGAGATAGGTATACACTGGGTGGGGTGAAATTTCCTATAACTTCCAGCAGTGAACACCAGTTGACACCATGTCACTGGGACTCTACAGATATTCTGAAGATGACCTCGTGGCTAGAAGCAGTCAAGAGAGAATTTTTTTGTTATCACCCTTTCATGCTTTGAAATGCAACAGATTTATTAAAACTCTTAGATAGAGCCATAAAAGAACTTCATATTATTTTACTAGAGTCACAGAAAAGGAATCTAAAAATAAAATTTCCTCTCTGCTCCTGGGGTCTAGCCACTTCATGTAGCTTTGTGATTTGACATCACAAGAAATTCCAAGGGAGGCTGTGCAAGCAGGGAGGAAGCTGAGGTCAAGGAGCAGCAGGTTCTGGACCTGTGCTTGACTTACTTTGATGATCTTATTTGTTATATCAAATGGAGCAGAGAAAAAGAGGCTCTCCAATGAGCATAAGAAGCTACTCTTGGTTTTAATTCACTCTCTTTGATTTCCCTCAGCAAAACAGATTAAAGATGGGTCTTTCTTTCTCTTGGTGTTTCTCACTGTGGTACTCACTAGGAGAAAGAAAGAGCTGGCTTTAAAGGGTTCTTTGTCCAGCGTGGTCTCTTTAACTACCGAAACATCTTCCAGGATGAAGTGCTGAGGTGTTTGATGTTGTCTGAACTAGAAATCACTTTCTGTCAATCAAATGCAAGCCCAGTAACTGGCAGCCTAGTTATGAAAATCAGTCAAAATGATATAGAAAGAAAAAAAAAAGCTTCGCATTTTAAATTCAATTTTGAACTACCTTACTCCATTCATTTACATAAATATTTAAGTGCCAACTGGAAGAAATCATTAAAACAGCTCAACTGAAATGAAAAGGATTGTTATCAAGGGCTAGTCTCTAGCGCCCAGAGCACAGACCTCCCAGGGCGCACAATGCTTAGAGTGCAGAAGTCATGGCCCATTCACCTATTAGTTGATAATGAATGTTATGACTGATGTTTCCAAATCAGCAACCATTGCCGGCCCACAAGGGTAAACATGTTTTAAACATATGTTTTACATGGTACAATCACTCCATAAACAACTAGTGTATCTAATGCCATGTATGTGGTATTAATACAACCTAAGAGTTGTGCTACAGAGAGATAACACATTTCCCAGCTCATTGGAGGCTCTAATTCACCCCTTATGCCTCACAGCACTTTCCAAGGAGTGTGTTATCTGGAAGTAACACACCCTTGGCTTATGCCTTATTGATTAATTGTAATCCAAAAATGTCAGCTCCAAATAATTACCAACCCAATTTGCCAATAACCATTGTAGGCTTTCTTACTTAAGTGAGCATTTTTAAAATATGTTATAGTTTTATTGACCTAGAAGAAAGAGATTCCTTTACTCCTTCTTTTTCATGATTATCCATGGTGAGCAGAGAGTACTTGGGAAGAAAAGCAGAGAATCAAGGAATTCGACATTTCTACACTTTTTGTTTTTAATGTAGTCCAGCTTCACATCTTTACCTACATTTCAGAGTTTACATTTTCTGCTATATCAAATGAGGCTGGCAATGCATATTGTTAGCACTATATTTGACAAAGTAGAGTGTTTTTGCCTTTTACTGGCAGATGACAAGACTGAGCCAACTTGATAGGCTATACCCCTAGGAAGCAATTTTGTCTTTCATCTACCCTTTTATACATATTTGTACTAACTGCTTTGGTACACCTTACAGTGCGATCCTCCCTCACCACCCCCCAAAATGAGTAAGACATCTCTTAATACCTTGGCTTAGCAGTATTACTTCTCTGTTTTGCCCAAAGCAGAGTTTCGTAACTAGATTCTCTGCTGCAAGTAGTTTTCTCTGCCTCTTATCCTACCTACAACTGCCGGTCATTGTTAGAAGCACAGTTCTGTGTCATTTGGATTCTTAAAAAAAAAAAAAAGTCTTAGGCTGCTATTCTTCTTAGAATCAATGTCTTAAGTCTTTATCTAGAATTAGAAGTTCTAAACTATAGGACCTCAATCAATTTCCTCAAATGGCTTCCAGTGCATCACCCTCACTTACCTCATGATTAAACTAAACTCAAAAAACGTGCTGCACTCGCCCTTTGCTTTCCCACATCTGTGTTTTCTTGGGCTGTTTCCACTTGCATGAATTCCTCTCCCCAAGGCTTTGAATCCAAATTGCATTCCATTTCTCATTTTTTAAATCCAGTTTCACGTATTTCTAAGATTTCTAGACTCCTATCTGATTTGTTCTCTACCTCCACACTGTCAGACTCTATTGGATGCTCATGTGAGCAAATGAATTGAAGTAATTTAACATTTCACATGAAAATGTTTACAGTTTGAGAAGTGCTATAATAGCAGTTTGAGAAGTGCTATAATAGAGGCAGCACAGGGGCAATACGTGCCCAGATGAGGGTTACGTAACTCAACCTCTGTAGTCAAGGAAGGCTTCCTAAAGGAGGTAAACCTTGAGCAACAATTGAAGGAAGAGTTTGAAGGAGAAATGGTAAGGGCTTTCCAGGTGGAGTGAACACTGTGCACTGCTGGTCCCAGATTATTTCTGTATGTGGTGTCATTGGTTCTGCTCAGAAACTACCTATCTCTTACCTGGAATCCCTCGACACTCTTCCTAAAGTCATTCCAGCTGCCACATTACAATCAGAGAGCTTTTCATGGAGGTTGAACACAATTACTTTAAGCTCCAGTTCCTGGACCTTTTCAAGCTTCCCTACACCCATTGGAAGCATTCATGCCTCAGTGGCATGTGCATTTTGTTTCATCTGAATGACATATCCTTGCCCCGATTTTTCATCTAATTTTATGTAGCTCCTTCCTGTACTTCACAAAGCAAAATTAGTTGATCCCTACTCTGTGTTCTTATGCAAGCTGTTCATCCTTTGATCATAACTATTCCCATTTTATAGCCAGATGGGAATATTTCTTTATGCACCTCCAGTGGCTGTCAGGTTGTCATTTCATGTGTTGTCTGGCTCACAAAACATTCATTTCCATATTTTCAAACTCTGCTAAGAGAACTCAATTCCATGATTTTTATTTTTCTCTTTTAACAGTGTGGCATGATAGCTAAATAAATTTTTAGATAATATTTCAATTCTTTATCAGTTTAAGGAGAAAAATTATCTGACTTGCAAGCTACTATGATGTCTCCACTTCTCTCTCTCTCACACACACATACACACACACATAGACACACATTTGCACACACACATGCACACACACACACCACCACCACTGTCACCACCAACAACAATATTAATAGCAGAGACAAATGCTAAGAGGACATTATTTGACAGATATGGTAAAAGGCATAGGGATTAAGAACCTCATCTAAGGATAAGCAGCTTGTGAAAGATAAAACCAATGTATAAATTCAGGTCTGTCCTTCCCCAAGGCCACTGCCCTTGCCTTACAGCTCACAATATTTTAAAAGTTATTTTTATTAGTGTTCTATTTTATAATATATATGGCATTCTTATTGTGTCTTACTTTCCTTGTTTCAAAAACATATCCACTCCTCCTTACTGTAGACAGGAGAACTTCCATGCCACCCATATTATGAAAGGGAGGGGGAAGCCTCTCTTTGTGTTCTTCAACTTTATCATGAAACTCATCACCTTATAATTAAAGAACAGTTTTATTTCTTGTAAAAGTTTTGGATATTTGAAGTAGTCTGTTTCAAGTTTGATATAGAACAGATTTTTATCCAGTTTGTTTAACTTTGAATGGCAATTTCAGCCCCAACTCAAATCATGACCTCTGTTAGTTAGGGTAACACAAACTCCTATAACACATAAACCCAAAATTTCAAAGGCTTAAAAGAATAGAGATTTACTTCTTGCTCACAAAGGGTGTTCATACTGTCAGTGGAGTAGTGAATCTCTGTGCCATAGAATCATTTAGGCTGATAAATGCCTTAGGCATTAGTATCCATCCAACAGAAAGAATAACAACATGAAGAAGCACAATTTATTTCTTAAAAGCCCAGGCTAAAAATTATAAATACACTTTTGTTCGCCATCCTTTGATGAGAACTAGCCATGTACCCTTATCTGGATGTAAAAGGGAGCTGCAATTTTCAAATACTGCAGGTTCTGATGCTTATAAAATACTAGAGCTTCCTTCTGATGTAAAAAAAAAAGATACAAATTATTAATACAAAATGAGATATAAAGCTTTGGAAGAGCGTTTTGCAGTGAGGGACCTTAAGACTTAAGCATTACTAGTATAACAGCTAGTCAGCATCTAGAGGCTAAAAAAGTACAGCCTCTGGCTTGGCACCTACCACCTAATGATAACCCCTCTATAAAAGGAGAGAACAAGAACTTGGTTATTGCACTTGTTATAAGACAGTTATTTCTCTCTGCCTTACAAATTAAGTGACAGTCCCTAGCAAGGTAAGATATGATGTCAAATAATATCTTTTATCATCTATTATTTATTAAGCAAATCTAATAACGTAACAAGTTCTAAACATCTATAATCAAGATGCTAGAATTTCCTAAAGCTAATTGAGCTCTGGTCAATCTGATTTTATTATGTAAAGTAAATTATCTAAACAGAGTGTTCATTCTTTGTTTATTTGTTTGATGCTAACATTATTTTGAGAGCCCAGAGCTTTCTCTGACATATATTCTAAAAAGGAGATTGGATGCTGAATTTTAGTCAGAACTATTATGTCCACAGAAGTACAGTGCACCATCACTTAAATGTATGCTCAGTAAATATTACACACTAAGTAGTCATTCTAACCTGTTTGCATTTATAGCTTCTTAAGGGGTGTGTGTGTGTGTGTGAGAGAGAGAGAGAGAGAGACTTAATAAGATATTTCAGATAGTAATTTTACTGCAGTGACACAAGTATTTGAATTATGTAAATCAGCCTGGACTGTGAGTGAAAAAAGCCCAGGTTTCTTCTCTGGCTCTGCTTTTCCTTGTGGTGAAATGTTACTTACTTGCCTCTGTCTGTAAAATGGGAACATTAATATTTACCCTGTTCACTTGAAAGGTTTCTATACAAACCAAACACATTGCTGTGTGAAAAAGCATTTAGTGGTGATAAGGTACTCAACAGATGTGATATATTACTGGTTATGATAGTCATGATCATAAAAATGATAAAATACTAACCTTGTTAGGCAAATTACATACATAATGTACAAGTCAGATATTCGTGTGAAAGTTCTCCACTCACTAATTATGAGATTTTGAACAAGATACATAATTTTTCCATGCCTCAGGCTTCTCTTTAAGAGGATCATTATGTATTGTACTATCTGCCCCACAGAGATGATATGAGGATTAAAGGAGAATATATAAAGAGTTTAAAACAGTACCTGTATATTCATTAGATCAAAAACTTATTTTGAATA
The DNA here is from genome assembly GCF_000001405.40 of Homo sapiens. NCBI lineage: Eukaryota > Metazoa > Chordata > Mammalia > Primates > Hominidae > Homo > Homo sapiens. The sequence continues at coordinate 88,581,399 of NC_000003.12, read as the reverse complement.
CAAACTTGTTTTCTTTCAAAATCACCTAATTTTTTTAAAGACAGGTAAAATCCAAATTTTATGATGCTAACTCTATTGACACATCTACTTTAAACCATCTCTTATTTTCTATTAAATTTGATTCGTTGCTAAGATAAACACTATCCGTATTTCTTTGGGAGGATGAGTACAATTTGGAATGTGTTTAGTTATATACTGAAGAATGTGGATTCTGTGGTTTTTGAGTGTGAGAGTGAAGTGAATACAACTTCAAAGTATCTTTATTACTAGTCCTGTGTAACTATATCTCTATATCCATTTATTCTGGTTTCTGAAGCACTGATTTTTTAAAACAAGGCTTTCTCTATCAAACCTCACAAAGTGTTTTTAGAGAGCATTATAAATTCCATAATTGTTTTGAAAGTATGTCAATAATAGCCAAGGCAATTGTCCCACCTATGTTCAAATTCTCTTGCTAGAAAGTTGTTTTCTCGTTTGATTTATGCTTGTCTTTTGTTATTTCATGTTTTAGAATCTCTAATATCCTCATTATTCTTTGAATCTTTTCAGCATGTTTCTATTATTGGACAGTAGAAATGCCTGAATGTTATTATTTTGTGAATTATTAATTCAGGGTCTTCACATTGCATTTGAGATATAGCAGAGTGATATAGGAGAGTATGTTATCATCTTGTTCCCATATTTACAAGTAGGAACAACTGAAAAAAATTGCACCTAAACAAATTCAGGTTATGGTTGTAGGAAAAGCTGCAACTCCTTCATTTTGTTTCTATTTATATATTGATATTTTATTAAACACTGACAAATATACATTGTAGTTAATTTGATTTATATTCTGAAACACATTATGAAATGCACTTCAGAGCTCAAGCTATTGATTGCTTGTTTTATATTCTTGTCTTTTAAATTACTTTCTAAAAGGTACATTTCATTATCAGTCACAGTAAGTGAATTAAACAATGTGTAAAGGCGTTCCTCTGTGTATTTTTATCTATAAAAATGTTTACACCATTTTAAATTTGAGTCAAGTTCATGGATCTATCTCTTCTATTGCTTCCTTATTGTACAGTCATAAGAACAATACTTTTTTTAGTGTACCGTTGAGGATTACTTGACGTAACACCCTTAGCATAGGGAATGGAAGAGTCAATGTTCTATAACTTTTTTTGCGGTGGGGCAAGTGGTGGGGGACAGAGTCTGTCTCTGTTGCCCTGACCGGAGTCCAGTGGCGCCATCTTGGCTCACTGAAATCTCCACCTCCTGGGCTCAAGCAATTCTTGTGCCTCAGCCTCCCGAGTAGCTGAGGCTACAGGTGCACACCACCACACCCAGCTAATTTTTGTATTTTTTGTAAAGATGGAGTTTCACCATGTTGGCCAGGCTGACCTGGAACCCCTGGGCTCAAGGGATCCACCTGCCTCAGCCTCCCAAACTGGCAGGATTACAGGAGTAAGCCACCATACCCAGCCTATTTTTTATTTTAATAATTATCAATACTGTTGTAATTTTAAAACTTCATATTGAGGTAAGTACTCCAGGAATTTTATTTTAGGAGAACCTAAGAACTAAATAAAGAATGTGGTTGCAGCAAACCTTAAATCGTCTTGTTTTTTCTGTGTTCTTTCCATAATAAAAAGTACTAACCTTTGATGTCATAACATATACTAAGAACTGTGTTCAGTGCTTCACTACCTTAGTTTATTTAACCCTTTTGAGAGACTGTGAGGAGGTATTATGCCCATAGAATAAATCTGAAAACTGAGTTACAGACTGGTTTGTAACAATAAGTGACAATTCTTAGTAACAGAAATAACCAGACAAATTATTTGTAATAATTAGCTATACACTTAGCAAATGGTAAAACATGGATTTGCAATCATGTGTACCTAATTTTAATGTTCTACTTACTTCCTCCCCTTTGACTATAGCATAATTATAGCTATTTCTTATATGACCTTCATGTAACTGATTATCAATAATGTCTTCATGTCATCTTTTTATATGTGCAACATTCATAAATTATAATCTCTTGGTGGGCAGGCTTCATTTCATGTATTTTCATACACAGCAAATAATTTAACAAAGTGACATAAATATATTTCCAGAGGAATATATAAATTATTATCAAATAAATGAAAATATCCTAAATTTGCTATGGGGGAGAAAGTAGGAATAAATTTTTCATCTTTGTCTTCGATGCTAAAGTATTTCCCTAATCATTATGACTGGCAGTGACAAGACCTTGATAGACCATCAAATTTGGGGCTCCCAGTTGGTCCTATTTAACCAGCTTCCCCAGGGGCAGTTTTTCTCCTTCAGTCTTATTCCCATTAAAGGTAACTCTTAGGCACCATCTGATACTCAAGCAGTTTATTCTAGCAAGGATCTTACAAGACGGACAGCAGGAACAGGCCCAGTGACCTGGGCCAGACACAGTCAAGGGTCAGTTGACTGACTTACTGGGAGGATCTCCCTTTGGAGACTTTTCTGAGAGTTTGAGGGATTCTTTCCTCTTTCCTATATCTATATTCAGTCCAGGTCAGTTACTAGGTGCTTCTTTCATAAAGGAACTTTAGCTATTCTTGTAAGGGCAAGCTTTGTTACAAGGTTCATGCAAGTTGCATCTATGCTGAGGTGGCCTTGTCTCTAGGGCAACCAGGGCTTTTAGGTCCCATTGTTAAACAGACTCTGTAGTCCCCAGTCCAGTTTGTATTGTACTGCTAAGTGACACTTAGTGAAAGCTCTGCAAAATGTTTGTGTGGGCCTTATGGCTATTGTTAATCTAACAGGTACAATATGTCTCTTATAATTACTATACTGATTTCAATAGAAACTACACATGATTAAGCCTTGCTAAGCTACAAATATTTTAAGAGTGATCCATATTTACATTTATCCTATTCAGAAACAAGACAAATGATTGAGAGTCCATCTATCTCAAATAAATATATATGACAATAGCTGAAATAGAACTTTGACTCAGGATGCTGTGCAGTTTCCTGAATAAGAAATTTATATATATATATATATAATTAGGGATATATATATAAAATTAGGATATATGTATACATATAGATATATATGTATAATTATATATATCCTAATTATATGTATATACATATGTATGTACATATAGATTTATATGTATATATAGATATATATGTATATATGTATATATAGATTTATATGTATATATAGATATATATGTATAATTAAATATGTATAATTAGGATATATGTATATATATAGATATATATGTATAATTGTATATATATCCTAATTGTATGTATACACATATATATATAGATATGTATGTGTAATTATATATATATCCTAATTTTATATATATATCCCTAATTTTATATATATATATATATATATATATATATATAAATTTCTTATTCAGGAAGCTGCACAGCATCCTGAGTCAAAGTTCTATTTCAGCTATTGTCATATATATTTATTTGGGATACATGGACTCTCAATCATTTGTCTTGTTTCTGAATAGGATAAATGTAAATACAGATCACTCTTAAAATATTTGTAGGTTAGCAAGGCTTAATCATGTGTGGTTTCTACTGAAATCAGTATAGTAATTATAAGAGACATATTGTACCTGTAAGATGAACAACAGCCATAAGGCCCACACAAACATACATATATATGTATATATATACCTAATTTAAGCCAAAAAATACAATAACAGCTGCAAATACAATAGCATGTACAATGTCAGTTTCTTGATGTCAACATCTGATTTTTTTCTAAAGACATGATAACTACATTTGGTTTATTAAGATCCAGTCTGGCTTTTTCTTCTAGTTTAAGCAGACTCTCCATTTGATCCCATGTTGTTGTTCCTCTTTACTTCTGCTAAAATTGATCAGTTTCTTAATCAGTGACCTTTCTTAGTCCTTGTAGATAGCCTGAGATGTGGCTAATCTAATTCTCAAAGTTTGCTTCAAATATCAAGTCTTTAATGATGCTTTCTTCAGAGGCTTGCTTTTGTTGATAAATTGCAAAATGCCTACTGTTATTAACCACAAGGTCTTCCCCTGTCTATCCTGAGTGCCCCTAGTAAGATCTATATGCCTTCCTTTTAGGTTCTGTCTGAATTCTGCTGTTTTCTGGAGATACATTGCTTCCCTTAGTGGAAAATTTACTCTAATTCAGATCAGAAAAGCAAATGAATTTCCATTCATTGAACAGAAACATGAGTCTCCAACAACATACTTTTTCCTTTCTAAAGCATAAAGGTTTGGAGTGCATTTTTATTTAATGATATAATGCCTAAGCTTATGCTGGCTACCGCTGGAACACTTAAGTCATGAAAATATTCCTTAACTAGAGCATTTCAGACCAACGAGGGTCCAGAATTTACTCCCCTCCTCAGCTCTGTCAATTGATGTGATTCTGCTAAGAGTATCAGCCTTCTACCAGGAAACTTACAGGAACAATTTGTCAGCAAATGATAGCGACCTTCATGAAAGGTACTAAAATATACCTAATTTGGAAATAGCTCATTAAATATTTCTGATTACCCATAAATATAAGCATCAGGTTTTGGCCAAATAAGACCTTCAAAGATAAAGCAAACTGTACCATTTTTGAATGATTGTTTCTAATCTGTAACACACTATGAGAAATATGTAAAAAAAAAACCTCTGGATTATTATTTTGGAAAATAAAAAGATCTGTTAATATGACTTAATTTGTGAGTATGTCAAAATTTCTCCTTTGCTAAAGCATCAACTCTCTTCAATTTAGCTGCATTGGAAATCTCAATTGAGGAGTTATCACTCGTTTTCTCATTTTTCATTTATAGGCAAGCTGTCAAGTCATGCGGGGTACCATTGTTCCACAATACCCAGACTTTGGATTTTGCATGTGTTGACTAATATTCAAAATGATGACATAATTGTAGTTTTCCTATTCTTTAGAAGAAAGTAAAAACTAAACAAAGGTACAATATTTTGCCAATTATTGGGACTTATTATATTTTTCGACTTGAAATGATTTCTACTATTTTGTTTCTTTTCATATGAACTATTAAAATAATAACACCATCTGGAGAGTTAACTGAAATAGAACTGAAGTGCTCAGTGTATGAAATTATGTGACTGTGGGTAGTATAGGCCTAAATAATTTATGCTCAAGTACAGCAAAGAAAGCTTCAAAGTGTATTCCTGTGCTCCATCACAAAGTTATACCCCATTTTTGGAACCACTTGAAAACTATTATTCTGTGGAAAAGTTAAAGTACCCCTTTTTCTAAAACATATATCTGAATTGTTTTTAATACATCAGTTGCTTCTCATGGAAAATTAAAGAAACTAAACACTACTCTACAAACGTCAGAGATTATGTAATGGGACCACTTCATTTGATATGAAAACTGAGAAAGATCACTGGTCTCTCCTGCCTCGGGTCCTGGAACTTACTGTTCTCTCTGCTTGGAACATTCTTCCCCTTCTCTCTTTGTAAATCTTGACTTTGACTCTTTCAGATTTTGGCTCAAATGTCGTATGTCAAAGAGGTCTAATATGACCACAGTATTAAAATAGTACCATTTTCTATTCATCCCATCTATCTCTCTATCTTATTGCCCTGCCTTTTTGTCTCTTTGAAGTTCATTCTAGTTGATATTTATGTACCTTTCTGTGTACTCATTGATTTCCTGTCTCCCTGTACTAAAATATTAATTTCATGAAAAACAAAAACATTATTTTTTATAGTTCTGTGTTTCCAGTGCCTAAAATACATCCTGGCTGATAGTAGGACCTCAACAGATGTTTGTTATTAAAAGAAATAAATAAGTGAATAAATGGATAAATAAATGAATGAACTGAAAAAATCTTAATTATATATACCATGTTTTATAAGAACCTCTCAGGATAAGTTAATGGTTATTTCTTATTTACCAACTTCACTGCATGGCTCACTTCCCTCCCTACTCTATATACACATAAAACCATAAATAATTTCTAATTTTTTAACTTAACTGGTGTTTAGAACCTCAGCGTTCCTACCAATTTCTCAGTATGGAATACTTTTCCTACCATTCCCCACCCCAATTCCAACTGTAGGCATTCTGATCATCTTTCAAAGTCCAGATTAAAAGGTATTTTCTTCACAAAGCTATATTTCTAGTAATAATGAATTAATTATAGTTTTCCCCTCTATTGCCACTGCTGTATTTCTCTTATAATTCTTACTTTAGTTTTGTTTCTGGCTGTGCCCAGAAAGATACTAGAATTTAAATTCTTGATTAGTAAAGGAATTAATTTATCTCTCAATACCATGAGGTATACAACACAGTGCATTGTCTGTTTAAGTTACTTAAAATATTTTGTGGTGGAAAAGAAAGAATAAATTAATCTGATTCAATGTTTTTAGTAAATGTCCACAATAATATTAAGGCTTAGAGAGACTGATGCTAAATGTATCTCAAATTCTATTTAATTAATTTGATCTACCTTTTAAAACCATGAAGTCAATTTAGTTGATCAGCTTACGTAGAATTTTTTTTTAAATCAGCAAAATTGTCTCTTCCCTCCAAAAAGTATCTATCTATATATGAATTTGGAGAAAGTATGTTTACAGACTGAATGAGGACTACTCTAAACAGCAAAATAAATAAAAAATCTATGTAATCTGCAGAAATTGACAGCCAGATGTTTCTGTAGCTATAGTAATTCATGCGTATTAGAAAATGTTGAAGCTATTACATGTAGTCCTTAGTTTGCCATTGCATTTATTCAAAAATAGACACTCAATATCTAAGACAAGAATACATTTCGACTGTATGTCTAATATATATACACACACATTACAGTTAGCCTAGTGATAATAAAACTTCATGAAAAAAGCTGTGAGGCTGTTCTTTTCATCCAGGCCTTCCAGGTTTCTAAAGATGTTTCCTGATGGGTGGACAGCCAATAAGTATCAGCACTGCCAACAACCTGACAAAGCATCTGATCCTGCTCTTTGTGGCCATTTCTTAGCATTAGTGGGAAGCAGCACATATTGACACTGAAATCTATTTAAAAGCGAGGTTCCTGACAACTGAACTTCAAGAAGGCAGAGACTTAAAAAATGCACATAGACACATTGTGTTGACAGCAGGCGCTATTGACTTTTCCCGCTGTACAATCCCACGCCAAGGGCTCAGTAAAGGCACAGAAGCCCAAGGGAGAAAAGGAGCTGGTTTTTCTTAAAAACTACCTGCTGTCAGTCAGTTTGGCATCATTTGGGACAGCGGGTGCTCTATAGATAAAACGAAAGATTGTTAGAGATTTTTTCTTTTTTTTTCTGTTTTATGACAACTCATTGATGGTAGGACCTAGTTGTGATAAAAGTTCAGTTTATCTTGACAAGATAGCTTTTTCTCCAGTCTATTAACCCGATCACTGGCCTGTGACAGATTAAGGAGAGGAAAAACATTGAAATTTGACTTTCCCTGTCTCCTCTTTTTTTTTTTTTTCACACACAAGCTGGATAGAGATAAACCACGTCTGCATTTCAAACACAACTTCCCAAAACCAACTACAATGCAAGTGCCTTATATTTGTTGTGTTTTTAAAATCTGTCCCTTTTGACATCTCTGATCTACAGGAAGATTATATTTTGAACAGTGTTACCAAGCCATACTGTATGAGGTGAATGAACTGATTGTAAGGTCAGTAGATTGAATGCAGGTGACTCCGTGTTATAGGATTAGTCATAATTTATCAACAGGAAATACTAACACTGTTCAATGTCAAAATTTCAAAACTAGAATTCCTATTCTGTGACGATAATATAAGGCTGCTTTGTGTCTGATTAAGAAGAAAAATTATATGGCTATCAATCGAGAGGGCACGGAAAAGTCTATGGAAGATGCTAAAGCTGATGGAATGTCAAATGTTACAGGAAACAGTGGGCAAACCACGGATGTGTTTGATAAATGCATTTGAACATTATAGATTAAAAAATAAAACAGATGACGGGGGCATTTGTTTTAAGCAATGAATTAATTTTGAGTCAAAGCTGTCACGATTGCAACTGAAGAAAGAAGAGAAAAACTTCAAAATGCTCTTGTAAAAAGTGAATTAACAAAGAAAAGGAAAGCAAGGAACCATCATATGCAACAAGCACAATTTAAAAAAATTAAATTTAAAATCTAACTTTTATTCATTTAATTAGGTTCACACATAAATATGTAATTAAAATGAGAAAAATGATTTACTGTAAATTATTAAATGTAAAACTGATGGATACTACAAATAAAATTAAAATCAACATGGCATAATATTCTGAACAGTTAATTTCCTAATACTTTTTTCTACACTGTTGGATTACATTGTCCTTGCTTAGCCTCCCCATGACAATGATTTTTGTAATGTCTGTTTCTACAGAGAGAATAGAAAACTAGTTCAGACATTCCTCTAGTAGAGTTGATCAAAACTTGTTCTTTAGAATCAATAGTTTAGAAAAGATTCCTTCAGCTTCACAACTCATTGGTAATGACATGCTAAGACTTGATCTGGCCTGGTGACATGCATAAAACATGCAGCTTCACACGCAGGCATCCTCAGCATTTGTCATGCTGCTGCAAGGTTGTGCTCTGCAAACGGAGGTCCTGCATACTTCCCAGCCTAAAAGAAAGCAAATGTATGGTGCACTTTTAATTCTTTACAATCATAATTAGAAATATTCCTCAGGAACATTTAATGCTAATATTAAATATTAATTTAATATTAAATTATTAAATATGAAATTAATATTAGTCAAATATTCCTGAAGAATATTCCCCACAGGAAAATAACTTTGACCAGGCATTCATGAGTACAAAATTATTCACTAAATTGTCTAATAATTGAAAGAAATTTTTAAAACTTTTGTGGATACGTAGCAGGTGTATATATTTATGAGGTGACATATTTTGATACAGGCATACAGGGTAAATGGAGTATCCATTGCCTCAAGCATTTATCCTTTACTTTGTGCATACAAACAATTCAATTGTACTCTTTAGTTATTTTTGTTTTTTATTTTTTAATTTTTATATATTTTTTGAGATAGAGTCTCACTCTGTCGCCCAGGCTGGAGTGCAGTAACATAATCTTGGCTCACTGCAACCTCCGCCTCCTGGGTTCAAGTGATTCTCCTGCGTCAGCCTCCCAGGCAGCTGGGATTACAGGCACTTGCTATCACGCCTGTCTAATTTTTGTATTTTTTTAGTAGTGAAGGGGTTTCACCATGTTGGCCAGGCTGGTCTCAAACTACTGGTCTCAAGTGATCCGTTCACCTTGGCCTCCCAAAGTGCTGAGATTACAGGCATAAGCCATCGGGCTGTCTTTCGGTTTTTTTTAATGCACAAGAAATCATTGTTGACGGGACTAACCCTTTTGTGCTATTAAATACTATATCTTATTCATTCTAACTATATTTTTAAACCCATTAACCATCTTCATTTCCCCTCCTACCCCCCACCTACCCTCATCATTCTTCTCTATCTCCAAAGGTTCACTTGTTTTAGTTTTCAGCTCTCTCAGATAAGTGAGAATATGGGAAGTTTGTCTTTCTGTGCCTGGCTCAACTTATTTAACATAAAGTCCTCCAGTTCCAGTCATGTTGCAAATGACGGATCTCATTCTTTTTTGTGACTGAATAGTGCTCCATTGTTATATGAATCACATTTTCCTTTATGCATTTGTCTGTTGATTGACACCTAGATTGCTTCCTACCTAGGCTATTGTGAATAGTGCTGCAATAAACATGGGAGTGCAGATATCTCTTTCTATACTAATTTCCTTTATTTTGGGTTTATACCTGGCAGTGATATTGCTAGATCATATGGTAGCTCTATTTTTTTAGTTTTTGGAGGAACCTCAGTACCACTCCCCATAGTAATTGCAGTAATTTATATCCCCACCAACAGCGTACAAGCATTCTCTTTTCTCCACATCTTCACTAGTATTTATTAGTTGTCTTTTGAATAAAAGCTCTTTTAACTGAGATGAGATGATATCTCATTGTAGTTTGGATTTGTACTTCTCTGACAATCATTGATGTTGAACAGCTTTTCATATGTCTGCTTGCTATTTGTATGTTTTTGTTGAGAAATGTCTATTCAGATTTTTGCCCATTTTTAATCAAATTATTAATTTTTTTCCTATTGAGTTTTTGAGTTCCTTGTATATCCTGGTTATTAATCCCTTATCAGATGGATAGTTTAAAAATATTTTACCCATTTTGTAGGTCATCTCTTAGCTTTGTTGATTGTTTCCTTTACTGTGCAGGAGCTTTTTAAATTAATGTGATCTCATTCACTCATTTTTGCTTTGGTTGCCTGGGCTTATGGCATATATATGGCATAAGAAATATGTGCCAAGATTTCTTAGTTTGGGGTTTTAGATTTAAGTTTTTAATCCATTTTGATTTGATTTCTGTATATGGTGAGAAATAAGGAATCTCATTATTCTGCATATGAATATCCAGTTTCCCCAGCACCGTTTATTGAAGAGACTGTCCTTTTCCCAGTGTATATCTTGGCACTTTTGTCAAAAATGAGTTCACTGTAGATGTATGAATTTGTTTCTGGGTTCTTTATTCTATTCCATTCATTTGTGTGTCTTTTTGTATACCAGTACCATACTGTTTTGGTTACTATAGCTCTATAGTATAATTTGAAGTCAGGTAATTTGATTCCTAAAGTTTTGTTCTTTTTGCTCAGCATAGCTTTGGATATTCTGGGTCTTTTATGGTTTCATATAAATTTTAGGATTTTTTTTATTTCTGTGAAGAATGTAATCACTATTTTAACAGGGATTGCATTGAACCTGTAGATTGCTTTGGGTAGTATGGACATTTTAACAATATTGATTTTTCAAATCCATGAACATGGAATATTTTCTCATTTTTTGTGTCATCTTCAATTTATTACACCAATGTTTTATAGTTTTTATTGTAGAGAACTTTCACTTCTTTGGTTAAGTTTACTCCTAAGTATTTAATTTTATTTGTAGCTATTATAAATGGGATTACTTTCTTGATTTCTTTTTCAGATTGTTTGCTGTTGGCATAAAGAAATGCTAGATTTTTCTATGTTGATTTTATATCCTGCAACTTTAGTGAATTTATCAGTTCTAATAGTTTTCTAGTGACATCTTTAAGTTATTCCCAATATAAGATTATATCATCTGCAAACAAGGATAATTTGACTGCTTCCTTTACAACTTGGATGCCCTTTATTTCTTTCTCTTGTCTGATTGCTGTATCTAGAACTTCTATTACTCTGGTGAAAGTGGGCTGTTGTGTTCTGGATTTAGAGGAAAGGCTTTCAGTTTTTCCCCATTCAATGTGATATTAGCTGTGGATCTGTCATATACAGCTTTTATTGTGTTGAGGTATGTTCCTTCTCTACCTAGTTTTTTCAGGCTTTTATCATGAAGAAATGTTGAGTTTTATCAAATGATTTTCAGCATCAATTGAAATGACCATATGGCTTTTATCCTTAATTCTGTTGATAGGATGTATCACATTGATTGATTTGCATATGTTGAACCATCCTTGCATCCCTGGGATAAATCCCACTTGGTCATGAAGAATGATATTTTTAATGTGTTGTTGAATTTGGCTTTCTTGAATTTTATTAATGATTTTGCATCAACGTTCCTCATGGATGTGGGTCTGTAGTTTTCTTTTCTTTTTTTTTTTTTTTTTTGATGTGTCTTTGTCTGGTTTGGAGATCAGGATAACACTCGCCTTGTAGAATCAGTTTGGAAGTATTGCCTCCTCCTCTGTTTTTTGGAACAGTTTGAGTAAGGTTGGGATTATTATAGCTCTTCTTTAAATATTTGGTAAAATCCAGCAGTGAAACCACTGGGTTCTAGGCTTATCTTTGCTGGGAGATTTTTGTTATAGCTTCAATCTCTTTACTTGTTAGTGGTCTGTTCAGGTTTTTTTATTTGTTCATGGCTCAATCTTTGTAGGTTGTATGTGCCTAGGAATGTATCTGTTTCTTCTAGGTTTTCCAATTTATTGGCATATAATTGCTCATAGTAGCCTTTAATGATCCTTTCAATTTCTCTCTTATCAGTAATAATGTTTCCTTTTTCATCTCTGATTTTGTTTATTTGAGTCTTCTCTCTTTTTATCTCAGTTAGTCTAGCTAAAGGATTGTCATTTATTTATCATTTCAAAAGTCCAGCTTTTCATTTTATGGATCTTTTGTATTTTTTATTTTCATTTATTTCTACTCTGATTATTTCTTTTCTTCTACTAATTTTGGGTTTGGTTTGCTCTTGCTTTTCTAGTTCTTAAAGATGCATCATTAAGTTGTTTATTTGAAGTTTTGTTTTTTTTTTGTTTTTTTTTTTACTTTTTTGATGTAAGTGCTATTGCTATAAACTTTCTTCTTAGTATAGCTTTCACTTTTTTGGTATGTAGTATTTCCATTTTTATTTGATTCATTTTTTAAAATTTTCCTTCTTAATTTCTTCATTGACCCACTGACTATTCAAATGCATATTGTTTAATTTCCATGTCTTTGTAAAGTTTCCAAAGTTTCTCTTGTTATTGATTTCTAGTTTTAGTCTATTGTAGTTAGAAGATACTTGATATAATTTCAATTCTTTTGAAGTTTTTAAGACCTTCAAAACTTTTGTGGCATAACATATGGTATATCCTTGAGAATGACCCATGTGCTAAAAAGAAGAATGTGTATTCTGCAGCTGCTGGATGAAATGTTCTCTAAATATCTGTTAGTTCCGTTTGGTCTATAGTGCAGGCTAAATCCAATGTTTCTTTTTTGATTCTCTGTCTGGATGGTCTGTCCAATGTTCAAAGTGGAGTTTTGAAGTCTCCAGCTATTATTATATTGAAGTCTATCTCACTGTTTAGTTCTAATGATATTTCCTTCATAGAACTGGGTGATCCAGTGTTGGATTCATGTATATTTACAATTGTTACATTCTCTTGCTGAATTAATCTTTTTAGCATTATATAATGACCTTCTTTGTCTGTTTTTATATAGTTTTTGTCCTGAAATCTATTTTACCTTATATAAGTATAGCTATTCCTGCTCTTTTTCAGTTTCCATTTGCGTAGAGTATCTTTTTCCATTCTTTTATTTTCAGTTTGTGTGTCTTCACAGATGAGGTGTGTTTCTTGTAGGCAACACATTGTTCATCCTTGTTTATTCATTCAGCCACTCTATGCCTTTCGATTAGAGAGCTTAGTCCATTTACATTTAATGTTATTATTAATAAGTAAGGACTTACTTCTGACATTTTGTTATTTGTTTCCTAGTTGTTTAGAGGTCTTCTGTTCCTTCTCTCCTTCCTTCCTGTCTAATTGGAAGAATTTTTAACAGACCAGTTTCTGTCTCTGTGTATGTGCTGGCAATGTAGAAGCGGCAGGCTGTCCAATTTTCCTGGGCTCCAGACTAGTAGACTCCAAGGTCAAGCTGAGGAGTTGTCCTTATTATAGCAGCAGTAGACTGATTAAAAGGCTGTTTATTTTGTTTTGATCTGTATGTTTTTTAAACAGCTTTATTGAAATATAATTTATATACAATACAGCACACCCATTTAAAGTTTACAATTTCTTGGATTTTTTAATACATTTAGCATTGTGCAATCATCACCACAATTTAGTGTGAAAATATAATATCCCCCCAAAATGTCCTTACCTTTTAGGAATCACTCCTAACTTCCCTTCTCCCAGCCACTGACAATAACTAATCTAACTTCTGTCTGTATGTGTCTATTCTAAACATTTCATACAAATAAAGTAATATTATATTATTCTTTTGTGTCTGGCTTCTTTCAATTACAATAATGTTTTCAGGGCCCATTCATGTTGTACTTCATTCTATCTTTTTGCTGAATAATATTCCATTATATGGATATATCCTGTTTCATTCATTCATTCACAATTCATTCACAATTTGCATTGTTTCCATTTTGTGGCTATTATGAATTTTGTGTAGACATGGGTTTTCAGTCATCTTATGTGACTGTTAAGAAGCCAAATTGCTAGCTCGTATGGAAACTTTATATTTAACATTTTAGGGAATTGCCAGATTGTTTTCCAAAGCAGTTATACCATTTTACCTTCTCACCAAAGAACACTGGGTTTACAATTTCTCCACATTCTCCCTGAATGTTTTGTTATCTGTCTTTTTAATCGTAGTCATCCTAATGCATGTGAAATACGGTCTCATTATGGTTTTGATTTGCATTTCCCTAAAGACTAATTCTCATTTTTTCATGTGCATATTGATCATTTGTATATCTTCTTTGAAGAAGTGTCTATTCAATATCTTTGCCCATTTTCATAAAAGAATATACACATGTGGTATATAACTTATATATAATATAATGTACAAATCATAAGTGTTATGTTCAGTAAGGATGGGTAATTTTACACATCCATGTTAATACCATGCTAACCAACATATGGAATATTGCCATAATCTCTGAAAGTTCAATAATGTTCCTTTCCCATAAATTCCTCTCACCTAACCAGGTAAAACCTCTGATTTCTATCAGCATAGATTGCATACCTTTTCTTGTATTTTACATACATGAATCATCAAATATATGCCCACTTCTCTTTGTACTTTTTCACTCAATATTATGTTTTTGAGACTAATTCATGTTGCTGCAAGCCTCTGAAAATTTGGGGATTTTATTACTAAGTAATATTCCACTGTAAAAATATAGTACAATTTCTATAGTATTCATTCTCCTTTAGTAGACAATGGAGTTATTTACTATGAATAAGACTGTTATGAACATTGTTTGTAGGTCTTTTCATGGGAATATGTTTTCATTTTTCTGGAAATGGAATTGTTTGGTCATTGCACAGATGCATGATTAGCTTTTTCAAAAATTATCAAACAGTTCTCCTAAGCAGTTTTAACACTTTTGCACCTCCATCAGCAATATATGAGTTTCTAGCTGCTCCACATTCTCAACATTTCATATGTTTAGTCTTTATGGTTTGAGTCATCCTAGTGATTGTGAGTTAATAATCACAATAAGCTAGTGGTAGCTTATTGTGATTTCAATATGTATTTTCTCTGAGTACAATGATGTGCTTGTTGAACACCATATATCTTTTTTTTTTTTTTTTTTATGGAGTCTCGCTCTGTCATCCAGGCTGGAGTGAAATGGCACTATCTCGGCTTACTGCAAGCTCCACTTCCTGGGTTCACACCATTCTCCTGCCTCAGCCTCCCAAGTAGCTGGGACTACAGGCGCCCACCACCATGCCAGGCTAATTTTTTTGTATTTTTAGTAGAGACAGGGTTTCACCGTGTTAGCCAGGATGGTCTTGATCTCCTGACCTCAGGATCTGCCCGTCTCGGCCTCCCAAAGTGCTGGGATTACAGGTTTGAGCCACCGTGCGCAGCCTGTATATCTTTTTTTAATGAAGTGTGTATTAAGTCTTGTGCCCACTTACATTGGGTTCTTTTTTTTCTCTGTGTATTAAGGAAACAAGTATTTTGTCATGTGTGTGTATGCACATGTGTGTGTATTACTTTCTTCTGGTCTATCATTATCACTAGCCTACAAAGTTTGTCAATGTCTTTTGAGGGGCAGATGTTGTCAATTTGAGGAAATCTAATTTATCATATTTTTCTTTTGATGACCAAAGAAATTTATGCAAAAGTAAATGATATTTTTAAAAGAAGCCAAGGAATGCTGGTAATCTTTAAAAACTGGAAAAGGCAAGGAAATGGATTCTCCCTTGGAGCCTCCAAAAGAGAAAACAACCCTGTCAACATCTTGATTTTTAGTCCATCGAGATCTGCATTGAATTTCTAACCTACAGAAACTTAGGTTGATAAATCTGTATTGTTTTAAGTTGCTAAAGTTGTGATAATTTGTTACAGTAGCAATAGGAAACTAACAATAAGAAAGTGTGTTAAAGTAAATAACAGGTATTATGAAAATGGCGTTGCTAATAGAAGGATTGCTTACCTATTTGAAAAATCAGACACAGTATAAATGGTCAAGAATAGGACATTCCTTAGATAATGGGTTATCCAAATTGTTTAATAATAAACAATTATTTTTAAAAGTGGTCATATAACTACATGTCTTTAAAACTGGGAAAATACTTATAATAGCTTGTGAAGAAAAAACTGAGTTAAGCTCATTATTAGTTTGTTCACTTTTTGTAAAACTGAATTTATTTACATATGTACATATTAGAATGCCTATCAAAATAGTAACTATCACTTTCTTTATCCATGCTATTTAAAGTGACTTTATTTTTTTTTCCTTTTTAGTTATCTGTGTTTTCTAGCTTCCAAGAAAACCTTTGACCAGCCTGTTACCATCAGAGATTCTGTGAGAAGACATTATAAAAGCTACTTCCCGTATGCATAATATTTATTATTTGCCTAAGTATTTCCTCCAAATATTAATGTAATCTGCTTGCCTCATAAAAAGAACAAATGCCAAATACTTCTTTTATTATTTTAGCTTACATCCTATCCTGGCAACAGACATGGTTAACTAGGTTATTTCTATGCCCTTTCCTCTGAGTCCCACCTTGAGCATAATTGACGGACTTTATGGTGCTTCTTGAATTAAAGGATGTCAAAGACAGAACAAATAGCAAGAATGTTGATTCTTTTACTTCTTCCAATGCACTTTGTATATTTTATGACTGTATTGTTCCTTTCAGTAGAGGTATATTTTAATATTAAAATGAATAATAAGAAAGTTATATAGCCAATTGAGAAAATAACAAATAGAACCCAGGTGTTTGCTCTTCTCTGTACCTTTTTCTAATCTAGTAATCACATACTGAAAAAATAATAATTTGTTTTAGTAGTTTTGTTTTCAAGGAAAGATATGGAAGGTTATTTTCTGATTCAATTATGTTCCAATTCAGTTCAAGAAATATGAGAATGTTAATAAGTATTTCCTTGGAAAGATAGAATTTGATATTGGCTTATAGAATTGACAGGATTTGAATAAGTGTTCTCACTATTTTCTTCATTTTTTTCTGCCTTCATAACTTTTTGCTGCATTCATTTATTGAAGGTAAGTGCAGAGCTTGCAATGTATTTATTCAATTGTATAAAAGGAGTAATTTATCTTGTCTGCTTTATGTATGTTAAAAACCAGAATGTCTACAGCTTTCTTAACTCTAATTCTTTGGTTGTTTGAAAGATAAAAGTATGCAAAATAATGAGAAAAAATGGTGCAGAGGTTTTTAGCACAGAAATTTGCATAAGTAAAAAGAAGCAGAATGTTAATAGCCAAGAGAGTGGGCAAAATATCTCCAGGACACTTCAGAGATCTTCAAGGCAGCCCCTCCAATCACAGGCCCAGAGGCAAAGGAGGGAAAAATGGTTTCATGGGCCAGACCCAGGGCCCTGCTGCTCTATGCAGCCTTAAGACATGGCACCTTGTGTCCCAGCTGCTCCAGATCCAGCCATGGCTAAAAAAGGCCAAGGTACAGCTTGGGCAGCTTCAGAGGGTGCAAGCCCCAAGCCTTGGTGGCTTCCATTTGGTGTTCCCAGAAGACAAGAGTTGAGGTTTGGGAACCTCTAACTAGATTTCAGAGGATGTATGGAAACCCCTGGATGTACAGGCAGAAGTCTGCTGCAGTGATGGAGCCCTCATGGCAAACCTCTACTAGGGCAATGCAGGAGAGAAGTATGGGGTTGGATCCCTCACACAGAGTTCCCACTAGGGCACTGCTTTTTGGAGCTGTGAGAAGAGAGCCATCATCCTCCAGCCCCCTAAGTAGTAGAGCCACCTACACCTTGTGCCATGCACCGGGAAAAGCTGCAGGCACTCTTTGCTAGCCTGTGAAAGCAGGCTATTACCATGTAGAGCCACAGGGGCAGAGCTGCCCAAGGCCTTGGGAGCCCACCTCTTGCATCAGCATGCACTGGATGTGAGACATGAAGTCAAAGGAGATTATTTTGGAGCTATTTTGGAGATTATTTAATGAGTGCCTCACTGGGTTTTGGACTTGCATGGGGCCTGCAACCCCTTTGTTTTATGTTTACTTTCAATACTGACACAACACAAAAGCATAATGAAGAAAAAAATTAAGTAGATATTTAATTTATATTACTTTAAGTTTGGCCTCTTCCAGTTGGGTCTCTCTCATAAGCCAGCACAAAAAAGCTATAACTAGTCATTGTTTTAAAAGCACAATTTTGATCAATACCTTATTGTTACACTGTGGATTTAAACATACTGCAAATTATATCTATCGTCTAATACTATTTGAGATCTGTTTTCTTAAAGTTTTTTTTTGCCATTACAATTTAAGAACTGACAATTATCTAGATCAGGGACTGTCAAACTGTGGCCCATAAGTCAAATTCAGCTGTAAATAAAGTTTTTTTTAACATGCCCGTGCCCATTCATTTACATATTGTTATGGATGCTTTTGCACTAGATAAAGTTGAGTAGTTGCAACAGAAACTCTATGATGTGCAAAGCCTAAAATATTTATCATCTAGACTCAAAAAAGAGCTTGTTGATTCCTGCTTTAGCTGGAAAAGAAACATAAATGTTGTAAAAGTATTTTACCAGTGGACATCCATCAACTTAAGTAAGTGGAGACAGCAAAGTGAATAATGAGTGCAGAGTTTTCATTAGGAAAAGTTGTCAATAGCTGGATAGTAAATTGTACTTTATGCAATCATTGGATTATTGACTATTAACAGATTTTGTTGGAATAACATTTTCAAAATACTTAAATTATGTATTTAAAAAGTAGAGCTATATAATGTAACATCAATCAAAATCAAGTCACCACAATGATAATTAAAATCTGTCACTTGGTTTATTATTCAGCATTATGATGATCACCCTTGTTAATACAGTTGTTTCGAAAGCATGTATTGCCATTTTCTACTCTACCCAAATTAGTGTGTGGTTAGCTTAACGCATATTGACTTATTTAAGACGAAATCAAATATCCTGTGTCAATTCTCTATGAAAATATAATGAACTCATCAAAATTACTGGTGTTTATTTACTCACACGAAGGATGTGCTTATGCCAAAAAGGGTTCTATTTGCAGGAAAACTGTTATACTAGCTCTTATTTGTTTCTAGCAATCACTACACATACACATTTATGTGGATTTACATTTGAAAACTTGTATAGGCTACTCCACTATATATTTGTATGGGCTTCATTTCATTTTATTTTTCAAATTCACTAATGCTTATGAGTTATAGTGGAATTTTATTTTACTGCTTCCTTAAAGTAAGTTCCCACCTTTCTTTAGAACTTAACTAGATTTAGTACCATCTTCCAGCTGAGTAAATTTTAATGATTATATTTGCTTCCTAACTTATGGAGATGTTAAAAAAATCAGACTTAACTTTGATCCCAATGAAATTTTGCTAGATAATTACAGGTATATATCTATCTATCATTACAAATCAGTCAATTATTTATCCAGTTGGCATCTTCTGTGCAATTAATTTGAAGTACCAGTGAAGCAGTGGAAAACACTCTTAAATCATAATGCTATACACCTGATAACTTTTTTGGAAACAAAATAGTGACAACAATAAACTTAAAAGCAAATAAATTTATGTTAATTTTAGGTCTAATGCTATCTATCTTCTCTTATTTTGAAAATATATGAATATATATGTTTACCACTATGTGATTATTTAACTGTTTTTAGATTTTTAAAATTTTCCTATGATTCTGAATCTCATGTACAAATGTAGACAGCAATACTTAACTGTCTTAAGGTTGCTGAAAATATTAAATCAGATAGTATTTATCAACTATAAAGCAAGAAGAAAAAGCTATTATTTGGGCAGTTTGTGACCTTCACATTACATCTATAATTACTTCTAGTAATCCAGTAGTTGTTAAATTCTAGTACTAAGTTATTATTTAATTAAGGAAACTTTTACTGTTCATTATATCAGAAAGAAAAAGTATATACATGTAGGAGAATTAACAAGTTTTCTGAATATCTACTATGCCAGGCATAAGTTTGGTGCAGTATAGAAAAAAATTAAAATTTCCTCAATTCTTTTTTTTTAAATATTTATAGCATTAAACATATATATATATATATATATATATATACACACACATATAATTTTTATTATACTTTAAGTTTTAGGGTACATGTGCACAACGTGCAGGTTTGTTACATATGTATACATGTGCCATGTTAGTGTGCTGCACACATTAACTCGTCATTTAACATTAGGTATATCTCATAATGCTATCCCTCCCCCTTCCCCCCACCCCACAACAGGCCCCAGTGTGTGATATTCCTCTTCCTGGGTCCATGTGTTCTCATTGTTCAATTCCCACCTATGAGTGAGAACATGTGGTGTTTGGTTTTTTCTCCTGCGATAGTTTGCTGAGAACAGTGGTTTCCAGCTTCATCCATGTCCCTACAAAGGACATGAACTCATCATTTTTTATGGCTGCATAGTATTCCATGGTGTATATATGCCACATTTTCTTAGTTCTTAATAGCTTGTGCCTATACAACTAATGCCATAGTAACCATTAAATCTCAAGTCAAAATGTCCTTTTATGCAGGAACTCCAGACCCATGAAAAATGTTCTATTTGTTTACATAGATATTTTGGCTATTTCCAAGGAGTGTCTTTGTTATGCTTATAAATTCTCCTGACTTGGGAAAATTCATTAGCATCTCTATTGAACAAAGGTTGTGCTGAGCAGAGATTCTGCAAACCCAGGAATCTACGACCAGGAGTAAAATTCAAGCTACAGATTTGCCAGTGTAATACACTCGACCCTCAGGGGACACAAGCTAAAAAAAGTAGTTTCCTAGGTAAGATGTCTTGAGCCTGGGAAATTTCTGTTGAATTAGATGACACATGGTGACACAAGGATGGGTCAGACCAGCTCCAAAAGTGAGCCTTTTAACTGCAACTGGAACCTCTATATCCTACTGACCTACTGGCCTTCTAGCTGAGTCCAGCTCATGAGATAATTAATTCTTGAGACTATGAGGTTTGAGGTGTTCCATATCACACTAAAACTTATCTGTCGGCAAACTTCTTAGCATCACACCATTCCTTCAAACATGTACATGTACATCTTTGTCAACTCTAAGAGTGACCATTATTTTTGTTCCCTGACAAGAATGAAGTTATTCTGATCCACCAAGTAAATCACGACAAAGAAAAAAATGCTTCCAACACTATGTTGAATAGGAGTGGTGAGAGAGGGCATCCCTGTCTTACGCCAGTTTTCAAAGGGAATGCTTCCAGTTTTTGCCCATTCAGTATGATATTAGCTGTGGGTTTGTCATAAACAGCTCTTATTATTTTGAGATATGTCCCATCAATACCTAATTTATTTTGTTGTTGGTTCTGTTTATGTGCTGGATTACATTTATTGATTTGCGTATGTTGAACCAGCCTTGCATCCCAGGGATGAAGCCCACTTGATCATGGTGGATAAGCTTTTTGATGTGCTGCTGGATTCAGTTTGCCAGTATTTTATTGAGGATTTTTGCATCGATTTTCATCAGGGATATTGGTCTAAAATTCTCTTTTTTTTGTTGTGTCTCTGCCAGGCTTTGGTATCAGGATGATGCTAGCCTCATAAAATGAGTTAGGGAGGATTCCCTCTTTTTCTATTGATTGGAACAGTTTCAGAAGGAAAGGTACCAGCTCCTCCTTGTACCTCTGGTAGAATTTAGCTGTGAATCCATCTGGTCCTGGACTTTTTTTTGTTGGTAAGCTATTAATTATTGCCTCAATTTCAGAGCCTGTTATTGGTCTACTCAGAGATTCAACTTCTTCCTGGTTTAAGCTTGGGAGAGTGTACGTGTCAAGGAATTTATCCATTTCTTCCAGATTTTCTAGTTTATCTGTGTAGAGGTGTTTGTAGTATTCTCTGATGGTAGTTTGTATTTCTGTGGGATCGGTGGTGATATCCCCTTTATCATTTTTTATTGCGTCTATTTGATTCTTCTCTCTTTTCTTCTTTATTAGTCTTGCTAGGGGTCTATCGATTTTGTTGATCTTTTCAAAAAACCAGCTCCTGGATTCATTGATTTTTTTGAAGGGTTTTTTGTGTCTCTATTTCCTTTATTTCTGCTCTGATCTTAGTTATTTCTTGCCTTCTGCTAGCTTTTGAATGTGTTTGCTCTTGCTTCTGTAGTGCTTTTAATAATTGTGATGTTAGGGTGTCAATTTTAGATCTTTCCTGCTTTCTCTTGTGTGCATTTAGTGCTATAAATTTCCCTCTACACACTGCTTTAAATGTGTCCCAGAGATTCTGGTATGTTGTGTCTTTGTTCTCACTGGTTTCAAAGAACATCTTTATTTCTTCCTTCATTTCGTTATGTACCCAGTAGTCATTCAGGAGCAGGTTGTTCAGTTTCCATGTAGTTGAGCGGTTTTGAGTGAGTTTCTTAATCCTGAGTTCTAGTTTGATTGCACCATGGTCTGAGACACAGTTTGTTATAATTTCTGTCTTTTCCATTTGCTGAGGAGTGCTTTACTTCCCAGTATGTGGTCAATTTTGGAATAGGTGTGGTGCGGTGCTGAAAAGAATGTATATTCTGTTGATTTGGGGTGGAGAGTTCTGTAGATGTCTATTAGGTCCACTTGGTGCAGAGCTGAGTTCAATTCCTGGATATCCTTGTTAACTTTCTCTCGTTGATCTGTCTAACGTTGACAGTGGGGTGTCAAAGTCTCCCGTTATTATTGTGTCGGAGTGTAAGTCTCTTTGTAGGTCTCTAAGGACTTGCTTTATGAATCTGGGTGCTCCTGTATTGGGTGCATATATATTTAGGACAGTTAGATCTTCTTGTTGAATTGATCCCTTTACCATTATGTAATGGCCTTCTTTATCTCTTTTGATATTTGTTGGTTTAAAGTCTGTTTTATCAGAGACTAGGATTACAATCCCTACCTTTTTTTTGTTTTTCATTTGCTTGGTAGATCTTTCTGCATCCCTTTAATTTGAGCCTGTGTGTGTCACTGCACATGAGATGGGATTCCTGAATACAGCACACTGATGGTTCTTGAATCTTTATCCAATTTGCCAGTCTGTGCCTTTTAATTGAAGCATTTAGCCCATTTACATTTAAGGTTAATATTGTTATGTATGAATTTGATCCTGCCATTATAATGTCAGCTCGTTACTTTGCTCGTTAGTTGAGGCAGTTTCTTCCTAGCCTCGATGATCTTTACAATTTGGCATGTTTTTGCAGTGGCTGGTACTACTTGTTCCTTTCCATGTTTAGTGCTTCCTTCAGGAGCTGTTTTAGGGCAGGCCTGTTGGTGACAAAATCTCTCAGCATTTGCTTGTCTGTAAAGTATTTTATTTCTCCTTCACTTATGAAGACTGGTTTGGCTGGATATGAAATTCTGGGTTGAAAATTCTTTTCTTTAAGAATGTTGAATATTGGCTCCCACTCTCTTTTGGCTTGTAGAGTTTCTGCCGAGAGATCAGCTGTTAGTCTGATGGGCTTCCCTTTGTGGATAACCTGACCTTTCTCTCTGGCTGCCTTTAACATTTTTTCCTCCATTTCAACTTTGTTGAATCTGACAATTATGTGTCTTCGAGTTGCTCTTCTCAAGGAGTATCTTTGTGGTGTTCTCTGTATTTCCTGCATTTGAATGTTGGCCTGTCTTGCTAGATTGGGGAAGTTCTCCTGGCTAATATCCTGCAGAGCGTTTTCCAACTTGGTTCCATTCTCCCCGTCGCTTTCAGGTACACCAATCACACATAGATTTGGTCTTTTCACATAGTCCCATATTTCTAAGAAACCCCATCATCTCAGCCCAAAATCTCCTTAAGCTGATAAGCAACTTCAGCAAAGTCTCAGGATACAAAATCAACGTGCAGAAACCACAAGCATTCTTGTACACCAATAACAGACAAACAGAGAGCCAAATCATGAGTGAACTCCCATTCGCAATTGCTTCAAAGAGAATAAAATACCTAGGAATCCAACTTACAAGGGATGTGAAGGACCTCTTCAAGGAGAACTACAGAATACTGCTCAAAGAAATAAAAGAGGATACACAGAAATGGAAGAACATTCCATGCTCATGGGTAGGAAGAATCAATATTGTGAAAATGGCCATACTGCCCAAGGTAATTTATAGATTCAATGCCATTCTCTTCAAGCTACCAATGAGTTTCTTCACAGAATTGGAAAAAACTCCTTTAAAGTTCATATGGAACCAAAAAAGAGCCCGCATTGCCAAGTCAATCCTAAGACAAAAGAACAAAGCTGGAGGCATCACACTACCTGACTTCAAACTATACTACAAGGCTACAGTAACCAAAACAGCATGGTACTGGTACTGAAACAGAGATATAGACCAATGGAACAGAACAGAGCCCTCAGAAATAATGCCACATATCTACAACTATCTGATCTTTGACAAACCTGACAAAAACAAGAAATGGGGAAAGAATTCCCTATTTAATAAATGGTGCTGGGAAAACTGACTAGTCATATGTAGAAAGCTGAAACTGGATCCCTTCCTTACACCTTATACAAAAATTAATTCAAGATGGATTAAAGACTTAAATGTTAGACCTAAAACCATCAAAACCCTAGAAAAAAACCTAGGCAATACCATTCAGGACATAGGCATGGGCAAGGACTTCATGTTTAAAACACCAAAAGCAATGGCAATAAAAGCCAAAATTGACAAACGGGATCTAATTAAACTAAAGAGCTTCTGCACAGCAAAAGAAGCTACCATCAGAGTGAACAGGCAACCTACAGAATGGGAGAAAATTTTTGCCATCTACTCATCTGACAAAGGGCTAATATCCAGAATCTGCAAAGAATTCAAACAAATTTACAAGAAAGAAACAAACAATCCCATCAAAAAGTGGGTGAAGGATATGAACAGACACTTCTCAAAAGAAGACATTGATGCAGCCAAAGACACATGAAAAAATGCTCATCATCACTGGCCATCAGAGAAATGCAAAGCAAAACCACAGTGAGATACCATCTCACACCAGTTAGAATGGTGATCATTAAAAAGTCAGGAAACAACAAGTGCTGGAGAGGATGTGGAGAAATAGGAACACTTTCACACTGTTGGTGGGACTGTAACCTAATTCAACCACTGTGGAAGTCAGTGTGGTGATTCCTCAGGGATCTAGAACTAGAAATATCATCTGACCCAGCCATCCCATTACTGGGTATATACCCAAAGGATTATAAATCATGCTGCTATAAAGGCACATGCACATGTATGTTTATTGTGGCACTATTCACAATAGCAAAGACTTGGAACCAACCCAAATGTCAGACAATGATAGACTGGATTAAGAAAATGTGGCACATATACACCATGGAATACTATGCAGCCATAAAAAATGATGAGTTCATGTCCTTTGTAGGGACATGGATGAAGCTGGAAACCATCATTCTCAGCAAACTATCACAAAGACAAAAAACCAAACACCACATGTTCTCACTCATAGGTGGGAATTGAACAATGAGAACACATGGACCCAGGAAGGGGAACATCACACACCGGGGCCTGTTGTGGGGTGGGAGGAAGGGGGAGGGATGGCATTAGGAGATATACCTAATGTTAAATGATGAGTTAATGTGTGCAGCACGCCAACATAGCACATGTATACATATGTAACTAACCTGCACGTTGTGAACATGTACCCTAAAACTTAAAGTATAATTAAAAAAAAAAAAAAAGTAGGAAATGCTTGATCTGTTCTCAAAGGGGTTGGAGAGTGCTTTAAGGAAGAATATCACCAAAGCAAACATATCAAATATATCTCTGTCTCAAGTCTCATTTAAATATGAATTATGCAGTTTTATCACTATAACACACCCATTAAGTAAGTCCAGTGTAATTGCTATTTTACAGATAAAGAAATTGAATCTCAGAAATCTGTAAGTCGAGTTCAATCACATCGCACAGGGGTTAATTAGGATTCTAACTCAGGCCTATGTAAATCTAATATCTTTGCTTATTTTTTCGACATTAATAATTATAACATGCTACATATCATACATATGTATAACATATATAAATACATATAGCATTAGACATATAGTATTTTTATAACACCACTAGCAAACATAGTGAGCACTGAGTCTGTCTGTTTCTTCCCCACTGATTTTCTTGAGTACTTTGAGGTTGGTGAGGGATGGGTGTGCATATAGCTCTCTCCTTGGCCAGGTGTGTTTATTTGCAGCAAGTCAGACAGGAGAGGGAGAGGGTGCCGAAAGATAGGTGCTAACATTTCAGGAAAAAAGAGAGTTTATGGAATGCCACAGGGTGGCTCATTCCTAAACTTTACCTCCACCTCTTCAGCCTAATTATATCATGTAGAAGTTCAGGTTAATTCCTGAAATCTTCTTCCCTTGAATTGTTCTAATGCTATATATCCAGCATCAAGAATTGACCTTTTTAAGAGTGTCTGGGCTGTGTTATTTTAAGTTTTTATTTCCGTAGGTTTTTGAGGAACAGGTGGTATTTGCCTACACGAGTAAGTTCTTCAGTGGTGACTTGTGAGATTTTCGTGCACCCAACACCCAAGCACTATAAAGTAAACCCAGGTTGTAGTCTTTTACCCCTCTCCCCTTCCCACTCTTTCCCCCAAGACCCCAAAGTTCATTATATCATTCTCATGCCTTTGCATCCTCATAGCTTAGCTCCCACTTATAAGTGAGAATGTACGATGTTTGGCTTTCCATTCCTGAGTTACTTCACTTAGAATAATAGTCTCTAATCTTAACCAAGTTGATGTGAATGCCATTAATTCATTCGTTTTTATGTCTCAGTAGTATATATTTATATATATATATATATATATATATATTTATTTATTTATCTACTCATTGATTGATGGGCATTTGAGTTGGTTCTGTATTTTTGCAATCGCGAATTGTGATGCTATAAACATGCACGTACAAGTACCTTTTTCATATAATAACTTATTTTCCTCTGGATAGATACCCTGTTGTGGGATTGCTGGATCAAATGGGAGAACTACTTTTAGTACTTTAAGGAATCTCCAAACTGTTTTCCATAGTGGCTGTACTAGTTTACATTCTCACCAGCAGTGGAGAAATGCTCCCTTTCACCACATCCATGCCAACATCTTTTTTTCTTTTTTTTTTTTTTTTTTGATTATAACCATTCTAGCAGGAGTAAGGTGCTATTGCATTGTGGATTTAGTTTGCATTTCCCTGATCATTAGTGATGTTGAGCATTTTTAATATGTTTATTGGCCATTTGTATATCTACTTTTGAGAATTGTCTATTCATGTCCTTAGCCTACTTTTTGATAAGAGATTGTTTGTTTTTTTTTCTTGCTAATTTGTTTGAGTTCCTTATAGATTCTGAACATTAGTCTTTTGTTGGATGTATAGACAGTGAATATTTTCTCCCACTCTGTCAATTATGTATTTACTGGGTTGAGTGTTCCTTTTGCCATGCAAAAACTCTTTAATTAATTTTAATTAAGTCCCACTTATTTATCTTTGTTTTTGCTGCATTTGCTTTTGGATTCTTGGTCATGAAATAGTTGACTAAGCCAATATCTGGAAGAGTTTTTCTGATGTTATCTTCTAGAATTTTTATAGTTTCAAGTCTTAGATTTAAGTCTTTGATCCATCTTAAGTTGATTTTTGTATAAGGTAAGTGATGAGAATCCAGTTTCATTCGCCTACGTGTGACTTGCCAATTATCCCAGCACCACTGATTAAATAGAGTGTCCTTTTCCAACTTTTTATGTTTTTGTTTGCTTTGTCAAAGTTCAGTTGGCTGTAAGTATTTGGCTTTATTTCTGGGTTCTCTCATCTTTTCCATTAGTCTATGTGCCTATTTTTATACCAGTACCATGTTGTTTTGTTGGCCTTATAATATAGTTTGATTTTTATGTGATACCTCCAGATTTGTTCTTTTTGCTTACTTTTGCTTTGACTATGCAAGCTCTTTTTTGGTTCCATATGAATTTTAGAATTTTTTTTCTATTTCTATGAAGAATGATGGTGGTATTTTTATTTATTTATTTATTTATTTATTTTTTATTATTATTATACTTTAAGTTTTAGGGTACATGTGCACATTGTGCAGGTTAGTTAATATGTATACATGTGCCATGCTGGTGTGCTGCACTCACTAACTCGTCATCTAGCATTAGGTATATCTCCCAATGCTCTCCCTCCCCCCTCCCCCCACCACACAACAGTCCCCAGAGTGTGATGTTCCCCTTCCTGTGTCCATGTGATCTCATTGTTCAATTCCCACCTATGAGTGAGAATATGTGGTGTTTGGTTTTTTGTTCTTGCAATAGTTTACTGAGAATAATGGTTTCCAATTTCATCCATGTCCCTACAAAGGACATGAACGCATCATTTTTTATGGCTGCATAGTATTCCATGGTGTATATGTGCCACATTTTCTTAATCCAGTCTATCATTGTTGGACATTTGGGTTGGTTCCAAGTCTTTGCTATTGTGAATAATGCTGCAATAAACATATGGGTGCATGTGTCTTTATAGCAGCATGATTTATAGTCCTTTGGGTATATACTCAGTAATGGGATGGCTGGGTCAAATGGTATTTCCAGTTCTAGATCCCTGAGGAATTGCCACACTGACTTCCACAATGGTTGAACTAGTTGACAGTCCCACCAACAGTGTAAAAGTGTTCCTATTTCTCCACATCCTCTCCAGCACTTGTTGTTTCCTGACTTTTTAATGATTGCCATTCTAACTGGTGTGAGATGGTATCTCATTGTGGTTTTGATTTGCATTTCTCTGATGGCCAGTGATGGTGAGCATTTTTTCATGTGTTTTTTGGCTGCATAAATGTCTTCTTTTGAGAAGTGTCTGTTCATGTCCTTCGCCCACTTTTTGATGGGGTTGTTTGCTTTTTACTTGTAAATTTGTTTGAGTTCATTGTAGATTCTGCATATTAGTCCTTTGTTGGATGAGTAGGTTGTGAAAATTTTCTCCCATTCTGTAGGTTGCCTGTTCACTCTGATGGTAGTTTGTTTTGCTGTGCAGAAGTTCTTTAGTTTAATTAGATCCCATTTGTCAATTTTGTCTTTTGTTGCCGTTGCTTTTGGTGTTTTAGACATGAAGTCCTTGCCCATGCCTATGTCCTGAATGGTAATGCCTAGGTTTTCTTCTAGTGTTTTTACGGTTTTAGGTCTAACGTTTAAGTCTTTAATCCATCTTGAATTGATTTTTGTATAAGGTGTAAGGAAGGGATCCAGTTTCAGCTTTCTACATATGGCTAGCCAGTTTTCCCAGCACCATTTATTAAATAGGGAATCCTTTCCCCATTGCTTGTTTTTCTCAGGTTTGTCAAAGATCAGATAGTTGTAGATATGCGGCGTTATTTCTGAGGGCTCTGTTCTGTTCCATTGATCTATATCTCTGTTTTGGTACCAGTACCATGCTGTTTTGGTTACTGTAGCCTTGTAGTATAGTTTGAAGTCAGGTAGTGTGATGCCTCCAGCTTTGTTCTTTTGGCTTAGGATTGACTTGGTGATGTAGGCTCCTTTTTGGTTCCATATGAACTTTAAGGTAGTGGGCTTCATCCCTGGGATGCAAGGCTGGTTCAATATATGCAAATCAATAAATGTAATCCAGCATATAAACAGAGCCAAAGACAAAAACCACATGATTATCTCAATAAATGCAGAAAAGGCCTTTGACAAAATTCAACAACCTTTCATGCTAAAAACTCTCAATAAATTAGGTACTGATGGGACATATTTCAAAATAATAAGAGCTATCTATGACAAACCCACAGCCAATATCATACTGAATGGGCAAAAACTGGAAGCATTCCCTTTGAAAACTGGCACAAGACAGGGATGCCCTCTCTCACCACTCCTATTCAACATAGTGTTGGAAGTTCTGGCCAGGGCAATTAGGCAGGAGAAGGAAATAAAGTGTATTCAGTTAGGAAAAGAGGAAGTCAAATTGTCCCTGTTTGCAGATGACATGATTGTATATCTAGAAAACCCCATTGTCTCAGCCCAAAATCTCCTTAAGCTGATAAGCAACTTCAGCAAAGTGTCAGGATACAAAATCAATGTGCAAAAATCATAAGCATTCCTATACACCAACAACAGACAAACAGAGAGCCAAATCATGAGTGAACTCCCATTCACAATTGCTTCAAAGAGAATAAAATACCTAGGAATCCAACTTACAAGGGATGTGAAGGACCTCTTCAAGGAGAACTACAAACCACTGCTCAAGGAAATAAAAGAGGATACAAACAAATGGAAGAACATTCCATGCTCATGGGTAGGAAGAATCAATATCATGAAAATGGCCATACTGCCCAAGGTAATTTACAGATTCAATGCCATCCCCATCAAGCTACCAATGCCTTTCTTCACAGAATTGGAAAAAACTACTTTAAAGTTCATATGATGGTGGTATTTTAATGGGAGTTGCATTGAATTTGTAGATTGCTTTTGTCACTATGATCATTTTTACAATATTCTTTCTACCCATCCATGAGCATGGAACGTGTTTCCATTTGTTTGTGTCATCTATGATTTCTTTCAGCAGTGTTTTGAGGTTTTCCTTGTAGAGGTCTTTCACCTCCTTGGTTAGGTATATTCCGAAGTATTTTATTTTTTCTGCATCTAAAAGTTTGGAAAACATATTTAGGGGAATAATCAAAGAAAACTTTCCCAGCCTTACTAGAGATTAAAGTCAAGATGAAGAAAGAATCTTACTAGCTGTGAGGCAACAGCAACAGGTAATCTATAAAGGAAAATCTATCAGATTAACAGC
Organism: Homo sapiens; assembly: GCF_000001405.40. Lineage (NCBI taxonomy): Eukaryota > Metazoa > Chordata > Mammalia > Primates > Hominidae > Homo > Homo sapiens. The sequence goes on along the minus strand of NC_000003.12, from coordinate 88,550,632 downwards.
AGATTACTCAGCAGAAACCCTACAAGCTAGAAGGGATTGAAGCCCTATCTTTAGCCTCCATAAACAAAGCAATGATAAGCCAAGAATTTTGTATCCAGAAAAACTAAGTTTTATAAATGAAGGAAACATAGTCTTTTCCTGACAAAGACTGAGAGAGTTCATCACTAACAAGCCAGCACCGTAAGAACTGCTAAAAGGAGCTCTAAATCTTGAAACAATTCCTGGAAACACATCAAAACATAAACCCTTTAAAATCTCATAGGACCTATAAAACAAAAATACAATTAAAAAACCCAAGGTATACAGGCAACAAATAGCACAATGAATGGAACAGTACTTCACATCTCAATACTAACATTGAATGTAAGTGGCCTGAATGCTCCACTTAAATGATACAGAATTGCAGAATAGATAAGAGTTCACCAACCAAGTATCTGCTGCCTTCAAGAGACTCACCTAACAAATAAGAACTCACATACACTTAACATAAAGAGGTGGAAAAAGACATTTCATGCAAATGGACATCAAAAGCAAGCAGGAGTAGCTATTCTTATATGAGACAAAACAAACTAAAGCAACAGCAGTTAAAAAGACAAAGAGAAACATTATATAATGATAGAGGGCCATGTCCAAAGGAAAATATCACTATCTTAAATATATATGCATCTAACACTGGAGCCCCCAAATTTATAAAACAATTATTACTACTAGACCTAAGAAATGAGATAGATTGCAACACAATAACAGTGGGGGAGTTCAATATTACATTAACAGCATTAGACAGGTCATCAAGACAGGAAGTCAACAAATAAACAATGGATTAAATTATACCCTAGAACAAGTGGACTTAACAAATATTTACAGAACATTCTACAAAATAGTCGGGGAATACAAATTCTATTCATCAGTGCATGGAACTTTATCCAAGGTAGACCATATGATAGGCCACAAAACAAGTCTCAGTAAATATAAGAAAATTGAAATTATATCAAGTATCAGACCACAGTGGAATAAAATTGGAAATCAACTCCAAAAGGAACCCTCAAAACCATGCAAATACATGGAAATTAAATAACTTACTCTTGAATTATCATTGGGTCAACAATGAAATCAAGCTAGAAATTAAAAAATTCTTTTGCCAAGTGCAGTGGCTCATGTCTGTAATCCAAGCAGTTTAGGAGGCGGAGGTGGGTGGATCACAAAGTCAAGAGATGGAGACCATCCTGCACCCTGGCCAACATGGTGAAATCCGGTCTCTACTAAAAATACAAAAAAATTAGCTAGGTGTGGTGGCACGTGCCTGTAGTCCCAGCTACTCAGGAGGCTGAGGCGCGGTGGCTCACGCCTATAATCCCAGCACTTTGGGAGGCTGAGGTGGGCAGATCATGAGGTCAAGAGATCGAGACCATCCTGGCCAACATGGTGAAACCCCGTCTCTTCTAAAACCACAAAAAAATTAGCTGGGCATGGTGGCGTGTGCCTGTAGTCTCAGCTAGTTGGGAGGCTGAGGCAGGAGAATCACTTGAACCTGGGTGGCAGAAGTTGCAGTGAGCCAAGATCATGCCACTGCACTCCAGCCTGGTGACAGAGTGAGACTCTGGCTAAAAAAAAAAAAAAAAAAAAAAAAATACTATTTTAACTGAATGATAATGGTAACACAATCTATCAAAACCTCTGGGAAACAGTAGAGTTATTGCTAAGAGGAAAATTCATAGCCTTTAGTGCCTACACCTGGACTGTTTTTAATATACAAAGTGCATTATAGCAGAATTTTTTCTGAAAAATATAAATTTGCCCTAAAATAATTTTTTTAAGTAGAAAATCAACCTCATAAAGTGTCTGAGATATCTTCAAACCTAAGGAAACTGTCCGGTTATCAACAGGAATTTTATAAATCTTCATTGAATCCTTAGTAACACAACACAAAATTTTACAAATCTTCATCAAATTCTCAGCAGCAAAACACAAAATTGCACAGGGGTTACCTACCATGATATACCATAATGTAGGTCAACCACATTATCATAGCTTCTAAGGAAAGCATATGTTATATGTGTGCATGTGGGTGATATCTGTCATAATATTTTGCCACATGTTTATTAATTATCAAGTCCTAGACTGACTTCACATATCTAAGTTAAGACAGGCCTGGAATCTAAGCATTCTAGTGGATTATGTGATTTGACCCATGGGCAAATAATATAAATGCTGTCTCCATTCAACTCTCAAGCAAGTAGACTTCATCACTCACAGGACCAGTGACTATTGGGTTAAAATTGGCAAGTGTGCTTTCAAGCCTATTAATGTATTGCCATAGGGGCTTTTTGTTTGTTTGTTTTTTGTTTGTTTGTTTGTTTTTTCATTGCAAGAAGCTATGTTGTAAAGGACACTCATTCACCTTCAAGCAGCCCTATGTCCCACAGTGATTTTCAATCTTCCAATTCCTACAATTATACACCGCCTCAGAAATATAAAATTAAGTACATCTGTCTTGAAGATGTTTTGCCTATACTTCTTCATTAAAAACAATATAGAATATAAAAAAGTCTGCCAAATATTACCAGTAATAATAAATCATATTGATTTTGTTATAATAATCAGAGAAAAAAAGGAGAAATTAGAAAAATACAGCTATAGTTAGAATAAATTACTATAAGATTTTAATTTATATATTCTTTGTGTGTTGTTTAAACATAAATATTCTTACAAATAAAAATGTATGACACTCTATTGTGTTTTTTCTAATCATGTATTCCTCTTTATTTTTTATGAAAAATGGTATATTAGGGACATATACTTTAAAGTAATACATTCAGAACACCTGGAGAAACTGTCACAACATAGATTCTAATTAAGTTGTGCTGGGTGGGTGCTGATATTTTGCATAATGCTGCTACCTTTAGTCTGGGATCGTATTTTAAGCAGTAAGGTTATAGTAAGGAGCATAGAAATTTGTACCTACTCCAGATAAACAATATCTGTCTGACCAAAAGATAGTAAATATGTGTAAATGAGATAAGTCACTGCAAAGTAGTTCTTAATCTAGAAATATATAATGTAAAAATTTATTTTGATGAACAATTTCATTATGTCATTTATTTATTCAGTAGTGAAATTTCTACCCTATTCATTAACTAATTTATTTAACAAATTCTTATATAATCCTCAAATGATTATATAATGCATAAGCCCATCCCTTCTCCACATATTTTGTGGTCATGAACTTTATTCTTTTTTACAGTAACCCTATAATGTTGTTGCCATTTTTATCCTTACTTTCCCAGTGAGGAAACTAAAATGTAGAGTAATTGCATAACTTATGTCACAAAATCCATTAATTGTAGAATTCCAGTGACTAGAATATTTCTAGATTTTCATTACAGGGTTACAAATTACACTATGCTAAGGTTTTCTCATATCATTTGCTAAATTCGTCCAGGATAGTCATATATAACATTATGTATTTATCACCTAATATGTGCCTCATATTCTGGGTAGAGTTTTGTTTGTTCTTATTGAATTTTCTTATTAACCCTGTGAGACATCTGCTATTATCACCAGTTTGCAGGTAAAGCTGCAAAGACCTAAACGACTAAAGTAATTTAAGTTGTAAATTCTGGGCAGCCCCAGCATTCATATCTACAGCATTCAAATTAGCCTTTAAAAAAGTGTTTGTCGGCCAGGCACGGTGGCTCACACCTGTAATCCCAGCACTTTGGGAGGCCAAGGTGGGCGGATCACGAGGTCAGGAGATTGAGACCATCCTGGCTAACACAGTGAAAGCCTGTCTCTACTAAAAATACCCAAAATTATCCAGGCATGGTGGCACACACCTGTAGCTACTCAGGAGGCTGAGGCAGGAGAATCAATTGAACCCGGGAGGCAGAGGTTGCAGTGAGCCGAGGTCAGGCCATTGCACTCCAGCCTGGGCGACAGAGTGAGACTCCATCTCAAAAAAAAAAAAAAGTGTTTGTTGGCCGGGCACAATGGCTCATGCCTGTTATCCCAGCACTTTGGGAGACCGAGGTGGGTGGATCACGAGGTCAGGAGTTGGAGACCAGCCTGACCAACATGGTGAAACCCCGTCTATACTAAAAATACAAAAATTTAGCCGGGCGTGGTGGTGCATGCCTGTAATCCCAGCTACTAAGGAGGCTGAGGGAGGAGAATCGCTTGAACCCAGGAGGCAGAGGTGACAGTGAGCCAAGATCGTGCCACTGCACTCCAGCCTGGGCGACAGAACAAGACTCCATCTCAAAAAAAAAAAAAGTGTTTGTCATGTTGTTTCCCCAAAATAAAAATCACCTGAGAATGATAAAAAAAAAAAATGAAAAAATAGAATTCCTCCTAAAAATTGGAAATTTCTATAAACTATGTGGAACATATAATTTTTGTTTTGAGACAGGATCTTGCTCTGTCATCCAGGCTGCAGTGCAGTGGCACAATTATGGCTTGCTGCAATGTCAACCTCCCATGCTCAAGTGATCCTCCTATGTACCCTTTCCCAGTAGCGAGAATCACAGTCGTGCACCACTGTATTAGTCCGTTTTCACGCTGCTAATAAAGACATACCCAAGCCTGGGCAATTTACAAAAGAAAGAGGTTTAATGGACTTACAGTTCCATGTGGCTGTAGAAGCCTCGCAATCATTGTGGAAGGCAAGGAAGAGCAAGTCATGTCTTACATGGATGGCAACAGGCAAAGTGAGAGAGCATGTGCAGGGGCCTCCCATGTTTAAAACCATCAGATCTCATGACACTTATTCACTATCACAAGAACAGCACAGGAAAGACCTGCCCCCATGATTCAATTACCTCCCACTGGGTACCTCCCACAACACATGGGAATTCAAGATGAGATTTGGGTGGGGGCACAGCCAAACCACATCATTCCACCAGTGGCCCCTCCCAAATCTCATGTCCTCTCATTTCAAAACCTATTATGCCTTCCCTAAAGTCCTCCAAAGTCTTAACTCATTTCAACATTAACTCTAAAGTCCAGAGTCCAAAGACTCATCTGAGACAAGGCAAGTATCTTCCACCTATGAGCCTGTAAAATCAAAAGCAGTTTAGTTACTTCCCAGATACAATGGGGGTACAGGCATGAGGTAAATACAGCCATTCCAAATGGGAGAAATTGGCCAAAACAAAGAAGCTACAGGACCCATGCAAGTCTGAAATCCAGTGGGGCAGTCAAATCTTAAGGTTTCAAAATGATCTCCTTTGACTCCATGTCTCACATAAGGGTCATGCTGATGCAAGAGGTGGGCTCCCACTGTCTTGGGCAGCTCTACCCCTGTGGCTTTTCAGGGTACAGCCTTCTTCCTTGTTGCCTTCACAGGCTGGTGTTGAGTGTCTGCAGCTTTTCCAGGTGCATGGTGCAAGCTGTCAGGGATCTACCATTTTGGGGTCTGGAGAATTGTGTCCCTCTTCTCACAACTCCACTAGGCAGTGCCCCACTGGGGACTCTGTGTGGGGGCTCCGACCCCACATTCCCTTCCACACTGCCCTAGCAGAGGTCCTCCATGAGGGTATCACCCCTGCAGCAAACTTCTGCCTGGGCATCCAGCTATTTCCATACCTCTTCTGAAATCTAGGCGGAGGTTCCCTAACCCCAATTCTTGACTTCTGTGCACTCACAGGCTCAATACCACGTGGAAGCTGCCAAAGCTTGGGGCTTGCACCCTCTGAAGTCATAGCCCAAGCTGTACCTTGGCCCCTTTTAGCCAAAGCTAGAGTGGCTGGAACCCAGGGCACCAAGTCTCTAGGCTGCACACAGCAGAAAGGCCCTTGACCCTACCCACAAAACTATTTTTACCTCCTAGGCCTCCAGGCCTGTGATAGGAGGGGCTGATGCAAAGGTCTCTGACATGTCCTGGAGACATTTTCCCCATAGTTTTGGTGATTGACATTTGACTTATCATTACTTATGCAAAGTTTTGTAGCCAGCTTTAATTTCTGGTCAGAAAAAGAGATTTTTCTTTTCTATTGCATTGTCAGGCTGCAAATTTTCCTAACTTTTATGCTCTGTTTCCCTTTCCCTTTGGTGCCTTAAACAGCACCAAAGTCACCTGTTGAATGCTTTCTTGCTTAGAAATTTCTTCTGCCAGACACCCCAAATTATCTCTCTCAAGTTCAAAGTTCCACAAATCTCTAGGGCAGGGGCAAAATGCCATCAGTCTCTTTGCTAAAACATAAAAATAATCACCTTGCTCCAGTTCCCAACCAGTTCCTCATTTCCATCTGAGACCACCTCAGCCTAGACTTTATTGTCCACATTGCTATCAGCATTTTGGGCAAAGGCATTCAGCAAGTCTCTAGGAAGTTCCAAACTTTCCCACATTTCCTGTCTTCTGAGCCCTCCAAACTGTTTCAATCACTGCCTGTTAGCCAGTTCCAAAGTCTCTTCCACATTTTTGGGTATCTTTTCAGCAATGCCCCACTCTACTAGTACCAATTTACTGTATTAGTCCATTTGCATGCTGCTGATAAAGGCATACCCAAGACTGGGCAATTTACAAAAGAAAGAGGTTTAATGGATTCACAGTTCCACATGGCTGGGGAGGCCTCACAAACATGGCAGAAGGCAGAGAGGAGCAAGTCACATGTTACATGAATGTCAGCAGGCAAAGAGAGAGAGCATGTGCAGGGAAACTCCCATTTTTAAAACCATCAGATCTCATGAGACTTATTCACTATCATGAGAATAGCACTAGAAGGATGGGCCCCATGATTCAATCATCCCCCACTGGGTCCCTCCCACACATGTGGGAATTCAAGATGATATTTGGATGGGAACACAGCCAAACCATATCAACCACCATGCCCAACTAAATTTTTATTTTTAGGAACAGTGTCTGCCTACGTTGCCCAGGCTGGTCTCGAACTCCTGAGTTCAAACGATTCTCTCACCTTGGCCTCCCAATGTGCTGGGATTACAGGCATGAGACACCACACCCAGACTATCGCTTAACATTTTTTATTTTGCCCAGTTTAAATAAGCTGATATTTTTTATTTGTACTAGTTAAACAATACATAGCTCAATGTCAAATAATTATTTAATGTATTCTTCTTAAAAAGATAATTATTTGCTGATAATTATATAAGATAAAAACCATGATAATTTTGAAGATAGGGATATTACTTCAAATTAACAAAATGCTTATAAATAACTAAATTAATTGTCAGTTTAATGAAAAAATCATATATGGGGGGGATTAAACTGATGTTTTCTTTTTAGGTGACTGTTCAGGATGCTCTTGATATTGATTTAATCAAATACAGTAAAATATAGCTGTGTTGCTCACTACTGATTTAATTATCAAAGTTTTCTGAGAAATATCAGAGGGAAGAGACACTAGGACACAGCAACTAAAAAAAAATGATGACCATTTCATCCTAAAAATGTAATAGTATAAATAAAATTGTATCCATAAACACAGAAAGTAAGAGGAGACAAAACCCTGGGAAAGCCAGTGACACTAGAGAACAGGCAGAGTGAGTAGGTGCAGCTGCTACATGTCATTCACTCAGAGATGGTATTACTATAGCAGACAAACCAATCTGCAACTGCCAGTCAAAGACATAACCTTCACAGTCACCTTTTGCAAATTATCAGGACCATATCCTCCTAATAATGGGGACACATGCAATGGATATGTATTGGGAGTGACACCTGGCTTAAAAGGTTAACCCACATTTTAAAATAAATGTCTCCATACTGACAGTGTACAAAAAATTAATCACTTTGGATTTTACTACTTTTTTAATACTTCTTTCCAGCATAAATGTTGGAACATTGATCTCATTCATTGTTTTCTCTCTCTTCCTCCCCTCTTCTTGTCCTTGCCTCTTCCACTTTTTGTTTCCTTTTTCATCTTTTTCACTTCCCACAGGGTCCCAGTTCCCAACCAGTTCCTCATTTCCATCTGAGTCCACCTCAGTTCCAGGTCAGGATACAGATTAAACAAAAGCCAGAGGACTTCCAAGCAAGCTGACAATGTTAGGCCTTCGGCAAACGAATGAATTGTGTATATTTTCCCATTTCTGTGTGAGACTTAGGAGCAATTGACTTTCTCTCTATAAAAACTAAAAGCCTCTTTATTGGTCTCTTCATGTTCTTAACACCTCCTGCTCCCACCATCATCCCAACACACACACACACAAAGCTCCTCATCACAAGAACCAGTAGCAATCCATAGAGATTTTACCATTATAAAAGACCTAAAAGGAATTTACTAACAAAACACACACTTTTGGTTTTGTTTTTTAACGATCCTCTTACTCTCTATTCTTAGCCTACAGCCATCAATCTCTGCTTTCTCTGTTTCTTTCTCCAAAACTAAGCCTTGTGGGCTCCCTATTCCTCCTTCTTGGATCTCACCTGCTCTAGGGATTCTCAATTCTTTTCTTTTTGTCCCCATCTTAATCTCTATACTTGAATGTACACATTGTTACTTAATACCATTTTAAAGTATGTCAAAACCAGTAGATCGGGCACCATTTCCCAAGTGTACCAGCCATACACCTGCCTGCAGTTCGATTATAGGGACCTCTTCCATCACAGCCAGAGCACAGATTCACCCTTACTGGAATAGACACACATATTCTCTATTTGCATTGTCTTTTCTGCCTTTTCTGTCTTTGCAATCGCCAGCATTTGTGGATTTCAAAAGCATAGTTCACTCTCATGGCATTCCATGTCACATTTTTTCTCATCAAGAAATTCACTTTACATAAAAGAAAATTCAGCAAAGCACTCCTGCCCATGGAATTTTCTAGTTTCACCACATACTTCACTACCTGGGAATGTTTTGCCTGAGTTTGGAAAAACTAATTACACACTCTGTATAGGAGTTGTATATTCAAAAAATGAATATGTTATATTCACGCAAATGATTTTTCAAAGACAAAAATATTACATATTCAAAAAATGAATATGTTATATTCACGCAAATGATTTTTCAAAGACAAAAATATTACATTGGTTTAAAAGGGTCAGTATTTTAAAATAAAAACAAAATTCAAAAAAAATATGTATTTAAGCCAGGCATGGTGGCTCATGCCTGTAACCGCAGCACTTTGTGAGGCCAAGTGGGGGGTGGATCACCTGAAGTCAGGAGTTCAAGACCAGCCTGGCCAACATGGTGAAACCCCGTCTCTACTAAAAATACGAAAATTAGCCAGGCATGGTGGTGCGCACCCATAATTACAGCTACTCTGGAGGCTGAGTCAGGAGAATCATTTGAACACCGGAGGTGGAGAGGTTGCAGTGACCCAAGATTGTGCCACTGCACTCCAGCCTTGGGCAACAGAGCAAAAAACTCTGTCTCAAAAAATAAATAAATAAAAAATAAAAATATATATTTTAAAATCATTATACACCAAATATCTTTGCATTAAGTTACACAAAAAGAAAGTTGGCAGAAATAACAAAAATTGATATAAACTCAGTTTTACTGGGATATATAACATTCTGATTCTAAAAACTTACCAAAGATAAATAGAATAATCAAGAACTTAGAATAATTCAGTTAATCAATAGGTTTTTAATTAGTTATATATTGAACATTAAACAACACACAGGAATTATATATCCTTGTAAGATACCCATGAAACGTATACCCATATACGTTCTGATACCTTCTGCCAGAGGGTATGTAAGTTGGTGTAATCTGAAGGCCAATTAGAAAAAGTGACCTTTTTGTTTTAATGGTATAGGATGTTCTTTCTAATGGCATGCAGAAGCAGATTGACCAAGAAGCTAATGACGCTGACACCTGATAGCCCTGCACCATCCTGAGCCTCCTCCAAGACTGGGAGGATCCTAACAATGTGTTCACATGGTCCATATGGTTTTCAAAAATTTGCAAAAGTGCGGGGATTTTTGTTTTTACCCATGAAAAATGCCTACTCCAATAAATTAGGTGTCAACGTAGGTTTCTCAAGTGTAAAACTTGTACACATCTGGCAGAGGATATTGATAATGGGAAAGGCTACACGTGTGTGGAAGCAGGGGCCATAAGGGAAATGTCTGTAGCTTCCTCCTAAGTTTACTGTGAACCTAAAACTGCTCTAAGTAATAAAGTGTATTCTTGTAAATGCCCATCTTGCAAAACTGTATCCGTCTAGGCCCCACAAAACTGAATCTAACCTAAAGGTATATTCTTATTTAAAAAACAAAGTGGAGGGAAAAGAAATAAATATTCAATTAGAAATTTCTCAATGTAATTATGTTTAACAGATTTTATGAATATATGAGAAGCATATACAGTACCTTCTGTAAATCTTATAATGTAGTTTTCCTTTTATATAGCTTAACTTTTTTTGCATTACTTCTACCATATCAGCATTTATTTTTTAAATTCATTTGGCCCCTTTTTTACAATGCAATAGAACTGTTCCTACATATGCTAAATTAAAAAAAGAAAAAGTCAACATGTAAAGGATAATCAGGTATCCTGAATTTACATGGAGATTCTTTCTATTCTATGAAGAAAGAGATAGAGGATTTCTCTGGAAATCCAGAATGTTAATGATATCAGTATTCATGGAAGCACATGTGAAGGTATGATGAGAACATAAGGATGCTTTGCTTTCTGTTGGAAAAAAATGTCACTTAACTATGTCCATAAAACATTAATTTAGCACAAATGAGTTTATGAATCACATGAAAAATCAGTCTTGCTATTTTAAATGGTAGTCTAAACATCTTATGAAATATCAGGCACTACATTAATTTTATAAGATGGTTTTAAAATCTAGCATACAAATTTGTTAAAAGTTTGTTCTCATTTTCTAAATAAATATTCATAACAGTTTCTCATGGGCTTGCTATAAAATCAGTGGCTTCTCATAATTAACAAATGACCACATGACGTTAAGTTGAACTGCCAAGGCACCCAGCCTTTGGAGACAGCAGATGAACCTGGAGGAGGGTTTCTCCGCATTGCAGGAGATTGTACATCCCAGAATACTGATTCCTCCAGTCTTTTACACTGACCTCTCGGGCTGCAGGCTGGGTTTAGGACAACAATTCCTTTCTTCTTTTTCCTTCAAGACTGTACCTGATTAAAAAACAAATAAACTAATTTTACTAGTATAAGTGTAGTAAGCATAAAGGGGGAAAGTATAATCTACACTGGAATCTATATTTCTCAGAAATTGCTTTAGTATCATACAAATAACAGACAATCTTCCCATTCTTTTAAAAATGTGGATTGTATCCCACACTACCAAACCCACGTGGGTAGAAAAATCTTGATAGATTGAGAGGCACATTAATGAAAGTTACTATTTTAAACCAAACTCCTATGTTTAATGTATTTTTCTTTCTGCTGTCCAGTTATGTTCTATATTACTTTGGTTTTCTATTATTTACAATATTAAGGTAGATTTTAACAACTACCTAAGATTATTATTTTTGTATATTAAAGCTGTAAATTAATGATACCCAGCCCAGAAGTTTGAGGCGGCAGTGAGTTATGACCGCACCATTGCACCCTAGCCTAAGCGATGGAGTGAGACTCTGCCTCTGGAAAAATTTAATTTTAAAAAAAGATAGCAAGAGATCAAAAAGCAATCCATAGAGCAAAAAATAAATGTGTTTTTATTATATGCTTTTTATACAGGTAGCAAATTATTATGAAAGGACATATTTTTCAAAACAGATCCATAATATTTCTAAAAGTGCAACAGAAGTTTTGAATTCTTACAATTCCTGTTTAGGCAAATATTGTACCTTTTGAATAGAAAAAACTAAAAGCAAAAAAAAAAAAACTGAGTGTACATATTAAGCCTGTGCCTATTCTAGATATAAAATCTGTAGTTTTGGGAATCTTTCCCAGAATAAAACATGGTAACAACTTATATTAAATTACCACAAAATAAATAATAGAAAGGCAAATCATAATATAGGATAAGAACAGTTATATTGAAAAGGATCAGATGAAAATATAATTATCTCCCAGTGAACACACACATTCACAAAAGAAATATAAATCCACATCACCTGCCAGATCATTTTTTGTTTTTATGAAACAGGAAATTTAAAACACACAATTTATTCTACCTGTTGAAGTAATGTAAATGAAGGTGGGTTTAGTCTGATAACTCCACTCCTCTTTAGGTTTACCAAATGGAAAATAGGCCACTGGAGCATATATGCTATCAAATCAGGTTGACATTCAATCAAAATCTTATAAAATATCATGTGTCATAGGAAGAGAAACATAATGCAGCAACTATAATAGCAAACTAATGAATTATGAAAGTTCAAATGTTTTAACTTTCCTGAAATAGGAAGGAAATATATACACATATAGTTTTAGTGTTTGTGGCAAGCTAGATGACTTAGTCATTCTAAAAGTCAGTTTCTACATCTGCAAAATGGATTTAATAATATTACCTACCTATTTATAAAAATACTATAAGATGATGATTGTAAAGAACTTATCTTGGTCCCTGAAACGAAACGTGATATGCATTTATAAACATTAATTGTTATGGTTTTGTAAATTAGTTTGCTCAAACACAAAGCCAGGTCTTCCTGTCCCCACATCCATAGTTTTTGTTGCTGCTCTCTGTTCGTATACAACTGATTAAAGATACACCTCATTTTGCTTTCTCTAAATTCAGATAATGAAAAATAAACCTGAGCCTAATTAGGGTAATCCCGTTATCAATACCTTCTGAAATTGAAATAACCTGCCTCTCCATTAATCCGCATATTTTGGTTTTATCTCCACTGCCTGTGTTTCTACATTTATTGAAATATATAGAGGAAACTTAGAGTTAATAATCCAGAAGTAGCTTGTCCTATCTGAAGCAAATCTTAACAGATATATCTATCAATTTATTCCAAAAAGCACTATTGAGCACCTACTAACTACAAAACACTCTGTGAGGCATTACATGTCAATAATCCTAAAATTTGATAACACACTGTAATTGGTGAATGTGTGGGGAACTATGAGCTCTCATCCTTTACTGAGCATAAGTAGGTATAACTTCCATGAAGGCCAACTTGACCACATCTGTGAAAATTTTAGATGAAAATACCCTTTTTCAAAGATACAGATTTATCATCTTTTTTTACACTACAGATATTGAAAGATTGCAGCATTACTTGTAATAGCAGATGTGGCAACATACTAAATATATATCAAAAAGGAATAAGATGCCAATTTTATTGCAAATATGCAACTCAATATAAGGTAACTGTAAAAAAGAAGGAAAGTATACTGTATGTAGTAATAGAAAAATTTCTCTAAAGTTCAGATTTATTGCTTAAACTAGTGTGATATTATGCAAAAAATAAATATAAAATATGCCCAAAAAACTACATTTATATTTGCCAGCAAATTCAAAAAATAAATGTTAAAGAATACATAAGATCTAAGAAGAAGGATACTTATGGGGAAGGGAGTAGGAACTAGGCAAATGAGAGATCAGCTTTTCTATATACCACTTTTCTATTTTCTGCATTTGAAATGGTAAATATTTTACCATTACAAAATAATATTTCTGGATATTGACTACTCTGACTTCTACTAGCTTCTACTAGAAAATAAATTGTAAGAGAACAAAGTAGGCAGCAAAGACATCAGTTAGGGTGCTGTTGCAAAGATTCAGGCAACAGAGAGTACAGTTGATCCTGGATATATTTCAAAGATATAGCAAAAAAGATTCGGCAAGATTGAATATGGAGTTTAAAACAAAGGGGAGTGTCAAAAAACACATACTAGATGATATCACAGGAGACATGATTTGTGAAAAAAATTTAAAGAAGCGCTTTATTAGGGGAACATGTGATGCTAGGAATACAAAGAACTGAAATCAAGATGACATCGGTGTGTAAAAAGGATTAGGTAAGTTAGAGACTAGAGATAGTGGGAGCAATTAAAGACTATTTTATGTTTTATAATTAGTCCATCCTCAATAGTGTGGTAAAAAATGCAATGGAAAGACAAAAATTAGATGAAAGAGACATAAATTTGAAGTTATAGAATTGTTTATTTGTTCATCTATCCTTTATGTAATTATTTATTATAGTTGTTTGCTTACTTGTCACAAACTGTGAAGAAAGTATCTCATGCTTCCACAGTTTGAATTTGTCTCGGGGATATTGTCTGTTGGTTGGTTTGGAGTTCTAAAATGCTATTGTAAAATAATTTCAATTTGAATGTCTTTGGATAGGTGTATTAGTTTGTTCTCACACTGCTGTAAGGACATATCCAAGACTGGGTAACTTATAAAGAAAAGAGGTTTAATTGACACAGTTCCACATGGCTGGGGAGGCCTCAGGAAACTTACAATTAGGGCAGAAGGCACCTCTTCACAGGGTGGCAGGAAACAGAATCAGTGCCCAGCGAATGGGGAAGCCTTTTATAAAACCATCAGATCTTGTGAGAACTAACTCACTATCATGAAAATAGGATGGAATAGGATGGGAGAGACTGCCCCCATGATTCAATTTTCTCCACCTGGTCCCTCCCATGACACATGAGTATTATAGGAACTACAATCCGAGATGAGATTTGGGTGGGGATACAGCTAAACCATATCAATAGGGAAGTATCCTTTTGTTCCCATGGGGCCTTCCTCTTCTCATTTTCTTATACTGCTAGTGTTTATGCATTGATGTTTCTGTCTTCTGTAGGCCTGAGTTGCCTTTCCCCCAAAATTAAGAACATCATAAAAATATATATATGCATCTATATATTCTGCAATGAAAAAATAATAAAATTAAGGAAAACTAAAAAGAAGAGTAGGAAAATTTCTATAAAGCCTCCTTCTAAAAATACATTCCATATGGCAGAACACAAATTTGGCTTTGAGCTTTGCCAGCTACCAGTGAAAGGGAGAAATATATGATTCACAGAGCCCAGATGATAAAAACAAATGAATTGCTATGGGAAAAATAATTTAAAAGTAAGGAGAGGAGAGCAGCAGAAGAGATGAAAGCAGAGAGGTGGAAAGAGTAAGGGAGGGAAGGAGGGAGAAGGAGACAAAAATACCCTTTCGTAAGCTATTTAGATCATTCTCCAATAAGCCTTTATAAATATCTGTAATAACATCTCTGAATTTATCATCAGTCCAATAAAACATTTGGATAAGCTTAGTTCTTAAGATATCTTTTAGTGCAGAGAGATGTTAAAATGAAATCCCCATATGAAATTATGTAAGTAAGTTGCTAGAATAATATGTCATAATAGTTTTTAAAAACATAATATTGTATATACTGAAAAGTCTTTAGAAATGTATTAATAGAAACTATTATTGGAATCACACTTTTATTAAGTTTGGGATTACAAACCCTTTTAAATGTTTCTGAAACCATTTGTAGGTTAAGGGAAGATTTCAAATTTTTTTAAAGGCAGCATGGTAGATGAAAAAAATGCTAGAGGCAGGCAAGAAACCTCCTATAAAAGAAGGAAATAACACGTCACCTCTGCAGGAGATGGCTTAGAAAAATAATCTGGATCTGCTTCAATTTGCTGAAAAATCCAATGGATAATTAAGGTTCTTAAATCCCACATGACATAGTGGTATTAATCAAAGTATTGTAACAACATGATGCATTACTGTTAATCTTGCAGTCTGATGTAAGTCATTTGTTAAAAATATAAAGTATGAAAGCTTGTGAATGGTTTATGAGAGAGCAAATTTTTATATAATTTACTTTTTTGTAAATTTAACATTAACACTTCAGTACAGTTAACTAGCTGGTTCTCAAACAGCATGATATTTCCATCCCCCCATAGCACCCACCACCCCCAAATTTGCCCTTCGTCATCATGTGTATGTTATTGTCTCTCTTAAAATAGAAAAAAAATTAGCTATACCTATGTCTTTATTCTAAAAGAGAAAACAAATGATAGAAATAGAGGGTCACGTGATCCAAGAAAAATAGAGTAGGCATAATTTTTTGTTTAATACAAATGTAATGAAGCGCTTTCACTCTTTTGCATTGACTACCTGATTCCCAGAGGCATTTGAATTTGTCTACCAAGCTTCCTGGGCAAAGGAAGGACATAGCTAAAAAGAATGTCATGTGGCTGGGCACTAGTGGATGAAGGCAAGAAGTGTCAAAAAGGCGAAAAAGGTGAAAAAAAAGAAAAGAAAATCTCTAGTTTTATGAACTCATAACTATTGAATTGTATCTTAAATCATCATCACAGCAAAAATGTGATCAACAAATCAGCTTTGATTTAAGATTACACCAAGTCTTTAAGGAAGGCTCCAGAAAATTGTTCTAGAAATTCTTTCTTATAGAGCCTAATGCTTGTAGAACACCCAGCATCAAAATGGCCTTGCAGTGCTAAAGATGGTGAGTGACCATTAAGCAGCTCACATTAATCTGGGTTTTCCAGAGGGGTATTAGTCAGGGTTCTCCAGAGAAACAGAACCAATAGGATATGTGTATATATAGAAAGATATTTATTTCAAGGAATTGGCTTGCATGATTAGGGATGGCAAGTCTAAACTTTGCAGGGTGGGCCTACAGGCTAGAGACCCAGGAAGAGTTGATGTTACAATTCATTTCAAAAGGCCAGTGATGGCAGAAGGCCCTCTTGCCCGTCTTTGTTCCATTTAGGCCTTTGACTGATCAGATGAGGTCCAACCACATTATGGAAGGCAAACTGCTTTACTCAAAGTCTACAGATTTAAAAGTTAATCTTATCCAGAAACACCCTTACAGAAACATCCAGAGTAATGTTGGACCACATATCTGGGCACCAAGGCCCAGCTAAGTTGACATTAAATTTAACCATCACATGATTATCTTAGTAAATTCTATGTCAGTCAACAGTTACAATCTAATAGAAATTCACACATATTCCTTTATAAGAAATTCATTTCTTTTTTTTACTAAGCAATATGAAGAAAAACAGTCAACATAGAAAATTGTAAAGCATCCAGAAATAGTTAATCAGGACCTCCCATAGTAAACTTAAAGAAATATAAAAATTTGTTCATTTATTTAGATGGTTGTGATTTTCAGAGCATGTGCTTAGTAGTTATAAAAGATGCAAAATGACATCAATTTATGAATTTATTATTTCTATTAATATTTACTTTGCAAGACTATCAGGGAGCAGTAGTTCCAAATTATATCTACATATCTAATTATATCAGTAGTTACAGCCTGTCTTCCTGACCCAGTTCATAACACGTAAAAAATTTGCCAGGTGGTGTGAAATGAGGATTTGTACAAACCAAATCAATTTTACTGTGAGTTTCAGAGATGTTAGCATTACCATCAGTGCCTGTTTTGTTTTAAAGCTGATCATGCTTACAAATATCTCTCATAAAGTTATGCTGTGTGATAATCGTTAGCTGTGCTAACTTTAGACTATGTCACTTGAATAAAATTGTTGCTCTTCTGTTTAGAGACTTGGATCTAGTGGAGTACTTGCTTCTAACTTTCAGAAGTTACAGAAGTGCTGGCAAGAGTGAGTTTGTTTCCAATTACTTTTGGATATAGTAAACAATGTGTAAAAGTATCTGTATTATTTAGAATAGCAATATTATTGAAAGTAGCATTATCATTCTTTTTAATTTGAGAGATGACGGGATTTCTGAAAGATTATTATGCATAAGTTTTATAGCTGATTCAGTTAACTTTTTGGATAGAAAAAAACCACATGGGTTCTTTTTAAACCATTCAGCAGAGAAAGATTATTAAATGAATACATTTTTAAAGCAGGCTAGTGCAAAGGGGATCTCCAAAAGCACTCTAAGAGGGTTATTTAACTTGTCTACTGGGATGTAATATATAATTATTAATAGTAGTTTCCACAAATTTTTAAAAATTGGAACTGCTATTACTGATTGCTATTTTTCCATGGATGTATTTACCTAAAAGGACTCTAAGAGGTAAATCACTCAAATATTTTTCTAATATATTTTTTCATGTATTTGCCTCATGTTATGGTTTCCTTGCTATGAGCAATTTTATAGCATATGATAGATTCATGAGCATCACATTCATGAACATCACATCATAAGCTTATTGATATAAGGCTTAAGTTTCCAAAGAATATTCTTTTAAAGAAGAGTTGTTTCCCTTTAATACAATACTAAGCTTTCCTTTTAATTTTTTACATTAAGAATTAGATTTCCCATTTCATTAAAACCGAGTTTCCTTTTGGATCTAATTAGTGTTTCATGTTAAAATATTTATAGAAATATTCTTAACATGGTGTAAGTCAAAATGTCAATTCAGATTTTCATTGCATAAATATTTTGTGGTCTAGAGTGCAGTGGATGCTAAAAAATTAGAGACATATACTTACCAGTTTATCAGTCTCAATTACATTCAAAAAGAGTAAAACTATACTTGAGAAATCTTTTTTTATTCTGCTGATGCCTAATAGTTCATTTTTCATTACTTTTGTCAATTAATTATCAATAATAAGTTAATAAATATTCAAAGGCAGAGCATCTGAAAATAAAAAGAATTCGGATAAGTGAAAATGTCCTCAGTCTTTTTAAAGCCAAGGAAAATTCACCACTGTCTGTGAAAGGTATATTAAAGCTCATTGTGTTGCAAATAATAATAATAATAGCCATAGTGAATTTTCAATCTAAACAGTCATTTTCATATTTTATTGCCCAATCCAGTGGCTATTTTAAACTGACTTCTAAGTGCATATGCAAGTCTTTGCATATCTGACTCCTAGTAGTGTACATACTTTTTTAGGTAAGGTTTTCTTTGACTTTATTACTTAGCATATAATTATATTTTTGCATGTAATTATTTAAGGCAGTGATTTGATTAACACATCTGGATAGCTTGAATACCTGTCATCTTTTCTATCAATAGTAAACCCAGGGATTTTTTTTTAAGATAAATTAATACATATATATATATTTTCTCTTGAAAACTATGTTTATGATTGTATTGTTTAAGTTTATCAAGAATACATTAAAAGGTTTTATTACAAAGACTTGCAAAGAATCTTTTAAAAACTAATATTTCTATTGTCAAAATGCTCATTGCTTTTAGTGCCTGAACTCCGTCTAATTAAAGATTTTCCATATGAGTTACTCAGTTTGTGTCTTACGAAGCCAATGAGAACTAAATAACAGTATGGAAATTAACAAAGTATTACAGTTTGACTTATGTATGGTTTGAATTGAATATTCAAGGTCATATGAACTACCAATTTGAATAATTTATCTTACACAAATGTAGAGGAAGCTAAATATGCATCAACTTCATATGGATGAAGGAGCAATTCCCACTGAAATTCATGCTAAAACTTTTAAGCCACAACTTTTTCCCTGAAAATACACCTTGAAACATATGAAAAAATTATTAGAAAATATGAGTCTATATCCAAATCATTTTGAAGCATCTTAAATGGAATGTACCTTTTCCATGGAGCATAACATATATATTTAAGTAAAGTAAAAATGTATTTACAATAAAAAATAGTTACAATTTCACTTAATGATTCAAATTATATTTTTGATTAGCTGCATTCTTTCATATTCTTCACTAGATGAAGAGCTACATTCAAGTTAGTGGCTTCCTCCCTTGGACTAAATGCAAGAAATTTCAGGAAAATATAACAAATATCAGAAAATAAATATCAAG
The DNA here is from genome assembly GCF_000001405.40 of Homo sapiens. Taxonomy (NCBI): domain Eukaryota; kingdom Metazoa; phylum Chordata; class Mammalia; order Primates; family Hominidae; genus Homo; species Homo sapiens. Next base: position 88,531,026 of record NC_000003.12, on the reverse strand, counting down.
ATTAAGGAGATGAAAGCATGATGATATTGTGTAGTAGGAGGCAAAAATAGTAGTACTTATAACCTTTAACACCTTCATGAGGAAAAATATTAATGCAACAAGTTAGGAATAGATATCAGTTGCAGAGAATAGAGCTCATTTAAGAAACTAGTGTACCAAAGTTTTTGATAGCATTTCAACAAATAAAAATTAATTTTACTTACAAGCCAGACTGTAAAAATTCTAAATGTCTTAGCCAACCAAATCTTCAATGTATTAAAATGTAATTAATCATGTCAAATAGAGTTTATTGCAGAAGTATAAGGATGGTATAACTTTATAAAATTAAATTAATGAAATTTCTCTTATTTTGGCAAATGAAGAAAAGTTGTATCTAGAAATTAAATATAGAGGCAGCAGGAGGTTTTATGACTATCTACACCATGTGTAATAAAGCATCTTAAAATATTAGAATGAGGCAAGAAATCTCTTAGCCTATAAAGATTATTTCAGAAAAACCTGCAGCAAATATACACTTAATATAATTCTAAACATTAGAAGCATTTCCTTAAGATAAGGACTAAAACAGATATCCACTATATGTGCTACTCTTCAACTTTGAACTAAAGTTCTGGCTAAGAAAATCACACAGGAAAAAATAAGTAACACTCATAGAAACAGTATTAAAATTAACGTGAAGTTCAGAAAGATAACTAGATAAATGGATGAACAAGGGCAAGCAATAGTTTTCCTATAATAGAATAGTCAATTAGGGAATATAATAGATGAGAAGTTACCATTGGATAAAATTTGTAATCATAACAAAAAAATGAAATGCACATAGGTATTTATGGCCACACATGCATAAAAGCTTACATAGATAATTTCAAAGTGTCTTTATATGGCACAAAGAAGATGTGCATAAATAATATATTTAGTCTATCAACTGATTTAAAATTTCAGATGATTAATATATTATTTTTGTACTAACTTATAAATTTCATGTATTCTAATAAAAAATCCAGCATTAATTTTGCAGATTTTGATGAAAAACTCTATACTATATAAGAAAAACTTTTGATAGTTAAGATAATTTTAAAATCACAAAAAAGATGTTCAGTGTGTCACCTTATCAATATGAAAAATTAAAAATTATTGCAGTAGATGTAGACACAAGAACAGATAGACTATATATAGTCTATCTATATATAGAACAGATATGTATATAAGTTTCTGGCTGTTCTCAGGCTTCTTGAGAGCCTACATAGGAAGCTGTCCATTTTCCAGATTAAGTAATATACTATTACACGCTTCTGAAACTGGAGTAGGCACAGCCTCAATTCTGTGCAGGAAAGATGCACAAGAGCAGAACACCCATGATCCATCTTTTCAGAACATCAATTTTACTGCAGGATTTGGAAAAAACAGATTTAGTTGATTTCCAAACTTTGTTAAAACAAACTTACATAAAGAAATAGAGCAATGTTCCAGAGAAGAGCCAAGATAGCTGAATATATGTAGCCAGGAAGAGCATCTCCCATTGAGAGAACAGACCACTAAGAAGACTAGCATACTCTAGCATCTTTTTGGAGGGAAGCCATTCAGAATGGATGAAGGGAGAGACCCTGGCTAAAAGAGGAAAAAGATCAGAGCCCTACACAGGGCTGCCAAGCACCAGGACTCATTCCTGGCCCCAAGCAGCTCCTGGGAAAGGGGTGTGCTAATAGGTAAGGAATGGTTTACTCTCACGATAGGTCTCTGGAATCCTAGCTTCAATTAAGACCTCACAACTGCCATGGACATTTGAGTTGACAGTGAGAGCTACTTGGAGAGATGCAAGGAAGGGAGTCCAGCCTGTGTGGAGCCCAGAGGGCTTGGCACAGGAACAGCTGTAATGGAGCATGCCCAGGGATACCCATCCTCCAAGTCTCACCATGCTCCTCTAGGTGGCTTTGGCTTTGATTGACTATTGAACCTAGACAGAGCAAGTCTGTCTTGTCTGTGGGATGGGACCAGTCAGATCAGAGTACCCTCCTGTCTGCTGGCCTCTCCTAGGGTCACTACCTTGCTGTACTCACTTGCCATGTAGTCTTGCATGCCCAACCAGGGCCCTCCTAAGCAGCTGCTACCAGAGCTTCACCAGCAAACCCTGCTTATCAGAGAGGTCCAGCAGATGGACCCCTGCTGACACACACCCACCCACCTATGGCCTCCCTCTACCTCTTTGTTATCATGCACTCACCTTCCCCCTCCCCCTACTGCTTTGCTAGTATGCGTATGTAGACCTCACAACCTCACTGCCAACAAGGCAGATGCACATAGAACTTGCCTGCCCCTGCCAGCACATGTGTGTGTACATACCCTGCCATGCCACACCATCAGTGGCACACACTACTCACCACCTCGAATGCCCTGATGCCACTAGCATGTATGCACACACACACAGGCACCACCACACAGTTGCTGCCATGGAACATGTGCATATGGACGCTGCCATGCTGCCATCTCACCACCAGTGGCTCATGTGTGGGAGCACAGACCACACTGCCACTGCCCTGACAAAGCACTATTTTCACCACCATCCATCAGATTGTTGCCAGCAGGCTAGTGACACCTTGGCCCCTCCAGTAGGTTCTTAACCTCAAGGAGCTAGAGAACAAAGCCGTGGACATGGTCCCAGTACCTCCTCCCCTACCCAGAGTAAGAGCACACAGTCCAGGAGTGCTGAGCTGAGACTTGGCCCCCTGAAATTATGCAGAATTTAAGCCAGTCAACTGAACCCAATTTACAGCACAGTCAAACCCTCAGGGAGATCAAGTAATACAAAAGCAAAAAGCCTCATCCAAAGGACAGCAACTTCAAAGATTAAATGATAATCAGCTCACACAGATGAGAAAGAACAAGTGAAAGTACCTTGGTAACTCAAAAGCCAAGGAATCTTCTTACCTCCAAATGACCTCACTAGCTCTTCAGCAATGATTCTTCACCCAGCTGAAATTATTGAAATTACAGACATAGAACTCAGAATCCAGATAGCAATGGAGATCATTAAGATTCAAAAGAAAGTTGAAATACAAACCAAGCAATCTAAAGAATATGGTAAAATGATACAAGTGTTGAAAGACAAAATAGCCATTTTAGGAAAGAACCAAACTGATCTGATACAGCTGAAAAACTTACCATAATAATTTCATAATACAATCAGAAGTATTAACAGCAGAATAGAACAAGATGAAGAAACAATCTCAGAGCTCAAAGACCAGTTCTTCAAATCATCTGAGTCAGACAAAAATAAAAAAGAACAAAGAAGAATAAACAAAACCTCTGAGAAATATGGAATCATGTAAGAAAACCAATCCTACAACTCATTGGCATTCCTGAAAGAGGGAGAGAGCAAGTAATTTGGAAAACATATCTGAGGATACTGTTCATGCAAATTTCCCCAACTTTGCTAGAGTGGTCAACATTCAATTTCAGGAAATTCAGAGAACCCCTGTGAGATACTATACAAGAAGACCATCCTCAAGACACATAGTCATTAGATTCTCATCAACATGAAAGTAAAAATATTGAAGATTAATATTGATATTTGTGCACTTGATTATGTCATCATGTTGTTGGCATGCTACAGAGAAGGGGCAGGTCACCTACAACGGGAACCCTATTAGGCTAAAAGCAGAAATTTTAGTAGAAACTCTACAACCCAGAAGATATTGGGGGCCTATATTCAGCATCCTTAAAGAAAAGAAACTCCAACAAAGGACTTCATATCCAGCCAAACCAAATTTCATAAGTGAAGGAGAAATAAACTCCTTTTCAGACAAGCAAATGCTAAGGGAATCTATTACCACCATACCTGCCTTACAAGAGGTCTTTAAAGGAGTGCTAAACATGAAAACAAAAGACGATTATTGGCACCAAAAACAAAACAAAACTAAACAAACCACATTTAAGTACACAGACAATTGACACTATAAAGCAGCCTCACAATCAAGTCTGCATAACAACCAGCTAACAATATGATGTTAGAATCAAGAGTGCACATATCAAAATTAACCTTCAACATAAACAGTCTAAATGCTCCACTTCAAAGATACAGAATGGCAAGTTGGTTAAAGAAACAAGATCCAACTGTATGTTGTCTTCAAGAGTCCCATCTCACATTCAAGGACACTCATAGGCTCAAAGTAAGAGAATGGAGAAAAATCTACCAAGAAAATAGAAAACAGAAAAGAGCAGCAGTTGCTACTGTAATTTAAGACAAACAAGACTTTAAACAAACAATGATCAAAAAAGACAAAGGATGACATTACCTAATTATTAAGTGCTCAATTCAACAAGAAGACTTAACCATCTTAAATATATATGTACCCAACACTGAAGCACCTACATTGATAAAACAAGTTCATAGAGACTTACGAAGAGAATTAGGTAACCACACAATTATAGTGGAAGAATTTGATACACCACTGACACTATTAAGTCATTAAGGCAGAAACCTAACAAAGATATTCAAGACCTAAACCTGACACTTGACCAAATGGACCTAATACATACCTAAGAAATTTCCACCCAACAACAGCAGAATTGTACCTCTTTCTCATCTGCATATGGAACATACCCTAAAGTTGACCACATGCTCAGCCATCAAACAATTCTCAACAAATTCAAGAAAACCAAACTCATACCAACCATATTCTTTGATCACAGTGCAATAAAAATAGAAATCAATACTAAAAAAACTCTCAAAACCATACAATTACATGGAAGTTAAGTAATTTGCTCCAGAAAGACTTTTAGGTAAACAATAAAATTAGGGCAGAAATCAGTAAGTTATTTAAATCTAATGAAAACAATGCTACAACATACCAGAATTTCTGAGACATAGCTAAAGTACTGTTAAGAGGCAAGTTCTCGTGCTGAATACCCACATCAAAAAGTTAAAAAGGAGAAAGATGGCAGGTAGCAAGGAGGACTAACTTGCAGCTCCCACTTGGACAGACAGAGCAATGTGTGGAGACACATATTGTGAATTTTTGCTCCAAGAACTACCAGAGGAAGATACCAGGAAAGCTGAGAGAATCCACCAACTCTTTAAAGGAGGTTGATTTCCACTTCAGCCTCTGTAGGACAACCAAGGAACTCCAAAGACAAATGACATAACCTTTTTGGAGCTCTATGGCCCCATCCACACCTGATAATCCCTATACTACTGCAGCTAATGTGCTCTTGAAAGTGCCACCTCCTGGCTGGAGGCCAACCAACACAAAACCAGCACACTTAACAAATATAAAACCAAGGACCTTGACAGAGTCCACTTCACTCCTCTGCTACCTTCATTGGTGCAGATGCTGGTATCCACAGCTGAAAGACATGAAGATAGATCACATCACAGGACTCTGCAGACACTCCCCAAGACCAGAGCCTGGTAGCTCTACCGGGTGGCTAGATCCAGAGAAGAAATAACAGTCACTGCAGTTAGGCTCTCAGGAAGCTCCATGACAAGAGAAAAAGGGAGAGCACCACATCAAAGGAGCACCCTGTGGGATCAAATAATCTGAACAGCAGTTCTTGAGTTCCAGATCTTCTCTCTGACATAGTCTACCCAAATGAGAAGCAATCAGAAAAACAATTCTGGTAACATGACAAAATAATATTTTTTTAACATGCCCAAAAGATCACACTAGCTCACCAACCATGTATCCAAACCACAACAGAACTCTGAATTGTCAGAAAAAGAATTCATGAAGTCAACTATTAAGCCTGTTAAGGAGGTACCAGGAAAAGGTGAAGTCCAACTTAAAGAAATTTATACAGGATATGAATGAAGAAATCTTCAGTGAAATAGAAGGCATAAATTTAAAAATAATCACAACTTCTGGAAATGAAGGACACACTTAGAGAAATGCTAAATGCACTGGAAAGTCTCAGCAATACAATTAAACAAGTAGAAGAAAGAACTTCAGAGTTCGAAGACAAGACTTTTATATTAACCCAGTTTGACAAAGACAAAGACAAAAAATATTTTTTAAATGAACAAAGCCTCCAAGAAGTCTGAAATCATGTTAAATGACCAAACCTAAGAAAAATTGATGTTCCCAAGGAAGAATGTAAACCTAAAAGTTTATATTTATCTACATATTTGAGAGAATAATCAATGAAAACTTCTCTGGTCTTGCTAAAGATCTAGACATTCAAATACAAGAAGTTCAAAGAACACCTGGGAAATTCACCACAAAAAGATCATCACATCTGCACATAGTTATCTGGTTATCTAAAGTCAAGACAAATGAAAGAATCTTAAGAACTGTGAGGCAAAAGCATCAGGTAATCTATAAAGGAAAACCTATCAGATTAACAGTAGGTTTCTCAGAAGAAACCCTACAATCCCAGAAGAGATTGAGGCCCTATCTTTAACTTCCTTAAACAAAACAATTATCAGCCAAGAATCTTGTATCCGGCAAAACTAAGCTTTATAAATGAAGAAAAAAATACAGTCTTTTTCAGAAAAACAAATCCTGAGAGAATTCACCACTACCAAGCCAGCACTACAAGAACTGCCAAACTGAGCCCTAAATCTTGAAACAAATCCTCAAAATACACCAAAATAGAATGTTCTTACAGCATAAATCTAACAGGACCTATAGAACGACAACACAATGAAAAAAAAAACAAGGTATTCAGACAACAAATGGCACAATGAATAGAATAGTACCTCATATCTCAATACTAATGCTGAGTATAAATGGCCTCAATGCCCTCATATAAAAGATATAGAATGGCAGAATGGAGAAGAATTCACCAACCAAACTGTCTTGAAGAGACTCACTTGACACATAAGGACTCACATAAACTTAAGGTAAAGGGGCTGAAAGAGATAATCCATGCAAATGGACACCAAAAGCAGAGGAGTAGCTATTCCTATACCAGATAAAAAAAAAAAAAACTTTAAAGCAACAGTAGCTAAAAAAGACAAAGAGGGACATTATATAATGATAAAAGGACTAGTCCAACAGAAAAATATCACAAACTTAAATATATATGCACCTACCCCTGGAGTTCCCAAATTTATAAAACAATGACTGCTTCTAAGAAATGAGATACATGGCAACACAAAAATGATGGGGAATTTCAATACTCCACTGACAGAACTAGACAGAAAGACAGAAAGTCAACAAAAAAACCTTAATCTATACCCTACAATTAATAGACTGAACAGATATTATATTTACAGAACATTCTACCCAACAACTGCAGAAAATATATTCTATTCATCAGCACATAGAACATTCTCCAAGATGGACCATATGAGAGGCCACAAACCAAGTTTCAACAAATTTAAGAAAACTGAAATTATATCAAGTTCTCTCTTGGACCACAGTGGAATAAAATTGGAAGTCAACTCCAAAAGGTACCTTTGTAACCGTGCAAATACATAGAAATTAAATAACCTGATCCTGAATGCTCACTGGGTCAAAAATAAAACCAAGATGGAAATTTAAAAATTCTTTGAACTGAACAAAGTAATTGCACAACTTATCAAATTTTCTGGTATATGACAAAGGCAGTGCTAAGAGAAAAGTTCATAGCATTAAATGCCTACCTCAAAAAGCATGAAAGAGCACAAATAGACAATCTAAGGTCACACTTCATGGAACTGTAGAAGCAAGAACAATCCAAACCCAAACCCAGCGGAAGAAAAGAAATAATGAATGTCAGAGCAGAACTAAATGAAATTGAAATGAAAAAAAAAATACAAAAGAAAAAGGAAACAAAAAACTGCTTCTTTGAAATAGACCGTTAATGAGATTAACCAAGAAGAGAGAAGATCCAAATAAGCTCAATTAGAAACAAAATGGGAAAAACTACAACTGATACCACAGAAATACAAAAGATTATTCAAGGCTACTATGAACACCTTTATGCACATACACTAGAAAACCTAGAAGAGATTAATAAATTTTTAGAAATATACAACTTTGCTAGATTAAACCAAAAAGATAGAGGATCTCTGAACAGACCAATAACAAGCAGAAAGATTAAAATGGTAATTTAAAAAATTATCTGCCCCCAAAAAATGTCCAAAACCAGATGGATTCATGGCTGAATTCAATCAGACATTCAAAGAGTTGATTCCAATACTATTGACACTATTCCAAAAGATAGAGAAAGAATGAATTCTCTCTAAATAATTTTATGAAGCCAGTATAACCCTAATATCAAAACCAGAAAAGGATATAACAAAAAAAGAAAACTACAGATCAATATTCCTGATGAGCATAGATGTAAAAATTCTCAACAAAATACTACCAAAATGATTCCAACAGCGTATCAAAAAGATAAGCCACCATGATCAAGTGGGTTTCATACCCGGGACACAGGGATGGTTTAACATATGTAAGTCAATAAATGTGATACACCACATAAACAGAATTAGAAACAAAAATCACATGATCATGTCAATAGATGCAGAACAAGAGTTTGACAAAATCCAGCACCTCTTTATGATTAAAACCCTCAGCAAAATCAGCATAGAAGGGACATACCTTAAGGTAATAAAAGCCGTCTATGAAAACCCCACAGCCAACATTGTACTGAATGGGGAAAAGTTGAAAGCATTCCACCTGAAAACTGAAACAAAACAAGGATGTTCAGTTTCACCACCTCTATTCAAGATAGTACTGGAAGTCCTGGCCAGAGCAATCAGACAAGAGAAAGAAATAAAGGTAATCCAAATCGGTAATGAATTCAAACTGTTGCTGTTTGCTGATGATACAATCGTATACCTAGAAAACCCTAAAGACTCATCCAAAAAACCCTTAGAACTGGTAAATCAGTTCAACAAAGTTTCAGGATGCAAAATTAATGTACACAAATCAGTAGCTCTGTTATACACCAACAGCAATGAAACTGAGAATCAAATCAAGAACTCAACCCCAATAGCTGAAACAAAAACAAAAACAAAAACACTTAGGAATTTACCTAACCAAGGATGTGAAAGACCTCAACAAGGAAAACCAATGGCACAGAATAGAGAACCCATAAATAAAACCAAATACAGCCAACTGATCTTCAACAAAGCAAACAAACACATAAAGGTGAGAAAGGACACCCTATTCAACAAATGGTGCTGGGATAATTGGCAAGTCACATGTGGAAGAATGAAACTGGATTCTCATCTCTCACCTTAAACCAAAATCTATGAAAATAGAACAAAGACTTAACTCTAAGACCTGAAACCATAAACATTCTAGAAGACAACAATGGAAAAAACCTTCTACTCTAGAAGATAACATTGGAAAAACCCTCCTAGGCGTTGGCTTAGGCAAAGACTCCATGACCAAGAACCCAAAAGCAAACACAACAAAACAAAGATAAGTAGATGGGACTTAATTAAACTAAAAAGTTTATGCACAGCCAAAGAAATAGTCAGAAGAGCTAACAGACAACTCACAGAGTGGGAGAAAAATCTTCACAATCTATATATCTGACAAAGGACTAATATCTAGAATCTACAAGAACTCAAAGAAATCAGCAATCAAAAAACAAACAATACCATCAAAAAGTGGGCTAAGGACATGAGTAGAAAATTCTAAAAAGAAGATGTACAAGTGGCCAAAAACATATCAAAATGTTTAACTTCACTATTTATCAGGGAAATGCAAATGAAAACCAAAATGCAATACTACTTTACTCCTGCTAGAATGGCTATAATAAAGAAAATAATATACTTTGGCGCAGATGTGGTGAAAAAAGGAAAACTTTTACTCTGTTGGAGGGAATGTAAACTAGTATAACCACTATGGAAACCAGTGTAGAGATTCCTTAAAGAACTAAAATAAGATCTACCATTTAATCCAGCATCCCACTCCTGGGTATGTACCCAGAGGAAAGGAAGTCATTATATGAAAACGATACTTGCACATGCATGTTTATAGCAGCACAATTTACAATTGCAAAAATATGGAACCAGCACAAATGTCCATCAATCAAAAAGTAAATAAAGAAAATATGATATATATATACACAATTATATAAATATTTGTGTATATATATATTTGTATATATATACACAATTATATAAATATTTGTGTATATATATATTTGTATATATATATATATATACACACACACAAACATCATGAAATCCTACTCAGGCATAAAAAGGAATGAAATAATGGCATTTGTAGCAAGCTTAATAGAATTGGAGACCATTATTCTAAGTGAAGTAACTAGACAATGGAAATCCAAACATGGTAAATCCTCAGTCATACGTGGGAGCTAAGCTATGAGGACACGAAGGCGTAAGAATGATACAATGGACTTTGGGGACATGGGGGAAAGGGCGGGAGGGGAATGAGGAATAAAATACTACACAATGGGTACAGTATACACTGCTTGGGTGATAGGTGCACCAATATCTCAGAAATCACTACTAAAGAACTTATTCATGTAATCAAATACCACCTGATCCCAATAAACCTATTGAAATTTTTTAAAAATGTTAAAAAGACCTCAAATTAACAACCTAACATCACACTTAGAGCAACTAAAACAATAAGGACAAACCAACCACAAAGCTAGCAGAAGAAAAGAAATAACCAAAATCAGAGATTAACTGAATGCAATAGAGAGGTAAAAAAAAACACACAAAAAATCAATGAAACCAAAAGCTGGGTTTTTTTATGGAAAAATAAATAATATTGATAGGTCACTAGGAGACTAATAAAGAAAAAAAAGGAGAAGCTACATAGAAAGCAATCAGAAATGGCAAAGAGAACATTACCACTGACCCCATAAGAATGCAAAAAATCTGCAGACAATTATGAATACCTATATGCACACAAACTAGAAAACCTAGAAGAAACTAATAAATTCCTGGAAACATATGACCTCCCAAGATTGAACCAGGAAGAAATTGAAACTCTGAACAGACCAATAACAAGTTCCAAAATTGAATCAGTAATAAAACCAGAAAAAGCCTACTAACCAGAAAAGCCAGGACTAAACAAATTCACAGCCAAATTCTACCAAATATATAAAGAAGAACTAGTACCAATCCTACTGAAATTATTCCAAAAAATTAAGGAGGAGAGATTTTCCCTAACCCACTCAATGAGGCCAGCATTATCCTGATACCCAAACCTGGCAGAGAAACAACAAAAACAGAAAACTTCAGGCCACCATCCCTGATGAACACAGATATGAAAATCCTCAACAAAATACTAGCAAAGGAAATCCAGCAGCACATCAAAAAGCTAATCTACTGTGAACAAATAGGCTTTACTTCTGGGGTGCAAGGTTGGTTCAACATACACAAATAAATAAGTGTGATTCATCATGATATGGTTTGGCTCTCTGTCCCCACCCAAATCTCACCTTGAATTGTAATAATCTCCATGTGTCAAGGGCAGGACCGGGTGCAGATAATTGAATCATACATATGGTTTCCTTCATGCTGTTCTGATGATAGTGAGTGAGTTCTCATGAAATCTGATGGTTTTGTAAGGGTTTTATAAGAGTGCCCCCTTTGCAGCCAGCTGCGGTGGCTCATGCCTGTAATTCCAGAACTTTGGGAGGCCAAGGTGGGGGGATCATCTGAGGTCAGGAGTTCGAGACCAGCCTGACCAATATGGAGAAACTCCGTCTCTACTAAAAATACAAAATTAGTCAGGCGTGGTGGCGCATGCCTGTAATCCCAGCCACTGGAGAGGCTGAGGGAGGAGAATCACTTGGAACCAGGAGCCAGACATTGTGGTGAGCCAAGGTCGTGCCATTGCACTCCAGCCTGGGCAACAAGAGTGAAACTCCATCTCAAAAAAAAAAAAAAAAAAAAAAAAAGAGTGTCCCCTTCACTCAGCACTCACTCTCTCTCTCCTCCTGCTCTGTGAAGAGGTGCCTTCTGCCATGATTGTAAGTTTCCTGAGGGCTCCCTAGGTACACAGATCTGTCAGTCAATTAAACCTCCTTTCTTTATAAATTAGCCAGTCTTGGGTATTTCTTTATAGCAGCATGAGAACAGACACATTACATAAACAGAACTAAAAACAAAAACCACATGATTACCTCAATATATGCAGAAATGGCTTTCAATAAAATTCAATATATCTTTGTGTTAAACCCTCAACAAACCAGGCATCAAAGAAAAATACATCAACATATTAAGAACTATCTATGATAAACCCACAGCTAATGTTATACTAAATGAGGAAAAACTGGAAGCATTCCCTTGGAACTAGAATAAAACAAGGATGTCCATTATGACTCCTATTCAATATAGTACCAGAAGTCTTAGCCACAGCAATCCAGCAAGAGAAAGAAATAAAAGGCATGTAAATAGGAAGAGAATAGTTATATTATCTCTTTTCACAGAATATTATTTCATGCCTAAAAAACACTGTAGCCCTGCCCAAAAGCTCCTAGATCTGATAAACAACTTCAAAGTTTCAGAATTCAGTAGCATTTCTGAAAAACCAACAACATCCAAGCTGAGAGATGAATCAAGAACACGGTCCCATTCACGATAGCCAGAAAAAGAATAAAATACCTAGGAATACAGCTAACCAGTAAGGTGAAAAATCTCTACAATGAGAATTATAAAACATGGCTCAAATAAGCACAAATAAATAAATAAATATTCCATGCTCATGGATAGAAAAAAATCAATATTGTTAAAATGGCCATACTACCCAAAGCAGATTCAATGTTGTCTCCATCAAACTACCAAAGACATTTTTCACAGACTTAGAAAAACCTATTCTAAAATTCATATGAAACCAAAAAAGAGCCTGAATAGCCAAAGCAATCCTAAGAAAAAAGAACAAAGACAGAGACATCACACTACCCAACTTCCAACACTACAAAGCTATAGTAACTAAAACATCATAGTACTGGTACCAAAACAGACACATAGACCAATGGAATGGGTTAGAGAATCCAGAAGTAGAGCCACACACCTATAACATATGATCTTTGATGAAGTAGACAGTAACAACCAATGGGGAAAGAACTCCTTATTCATTAAATGCTGCAGGGATAACTGTTAAGCCACATGCAGAAGATTGAAACTCAACCCTTCCTTTCACCATATACAAAATCAACTCAAGGTGGATTAAGGACTTAAAACCTAAGACTATAAAAACTCTAGAAGGAAACCTAGGAAATGCCATTCTAGACATTGGCCCTGGCAAAGATTTCATTACACAGACACCAAAAGCAATTGCAACAAAAGCAAAAATTGGAACATGGGACTTAATAAAACTAAAGAGCTTCTGCAGAGCAAAAGAAACTATCAACAAAGTAAACAGACAACCTACAGAATGGGAAAAAATATTTGCAAAGGATGTTCCAACAAAGTTCTATAACCCAGAATCTATAAGGAACTTAAGCAAACTAACAAGCAAAAAAATAACATCAATAAAAAATGGGCAAAGGACCTTAACAGCCACTTCTCAAAAGAAGACACACACATGGCAAAAAAGCATATGAAAACTGTTCAACTTCACTAGCCATTAAAGAAATGCAAATGAACACCACAATGAGATGTACCTCTAACACCAGTGAAGATGCTGGTGAGGTTGTGGAGAAAACAGATTGATTATACACTACTGGTGGTAATGTAAATTAGTTCAGCCACCATGGAAAGTAGTCTGGAGATTTCTCAAAGAACTAAGAGTTGAACTACCATTCAACCCAGCAATCCCATTACTGGGTATAAACCCAAAGGAATGTAAATCATTCTACCATAAAGACATGTGCATGTATATGTTCATTGCAGCACTATTGACAATAGCAGAGACATGGAGTCAACCTAGATGCCCATCAATAGTGTACTGAATAAAGAAAATGTGGTACATAGTTCCCATGGAATACTACATAGCCATAAAAAGGAAAGAGGTCATGTCCTCTGGAGGAACATGGATGGAGCTGGAGGCCATTATCCTAAGTGAATTAATGCAGAAGCCAAAAACCAAATACCACGTGTTCTCACTTTTAAGTGGGAGCTAAATGATGAAAATACATGGACACAAAGAAGGAAACAATAATTACTGGGTCCTGCTTGAGGGTGGAGGGCAGGAGAAGTGTAAGATTTCAAAATGTTTATTACACAGGTGAAGAAACCCCCACACACAACACACAATTTACCCATGTAACACACATGCACATGTACCCCTGAGCTTAAAATAAAAGTTAGACAAAAAAAGGAAATAACTATAAATACAAAAGTTAACTCTTTCTCTCTATGTATGTACATATAAATATATATGTGAATTCCAATACAAATATTTTGAAAGTCAACAATAAAATGCAGAAACACAATAGAAAAATAAAATGAGTATGAAACTTACACATAAAAAGCAAAATTTTAAAAGATAATACAAATATAAAGAGATTATCAGCATCATTTTAAGCAAACAAAAGTAAAAATTCTAAAACATGCTCATTTTTACTGTCTAATTAGCAAAATTTAATAGTGAATTATTACCAGGAGCTGATGAGGATGTAATGACAAGAATAGCCCCTTAGGCACTGCCAATGATGGCATGGAAACTAGTCAGGCATTTTGTAGTAGTTTGGAGGCATGCATTGGATATGAATAAACAGTACAGTCCTGCAATTCCACCCCCACATTATACTTTTAGAGATTTCTCTCAGCGTTGAATAAGTAGCCATGGGGATGATAATCTTTGCTGCATTATTTTAGTAACAAAGAGTTGGAAACGTCAATGTCAACTCAGCAAAGTGGCTAGATAAATGTGGTAGCTTCAAATAATGAAATTATGAAAGATAATTTAAAATGAATGGTATTTATCATTCTGGAAGAATTTGTAAAACATAATAAAGAAAGAAGAAACAAGAGAATACTTAGCACCTATATAAATTAAATAAGCAAGAGTTGGAAATGGAGGGGAAGATAATAAGATTAGGGAGAAGGAAATAAAAGAAACAAAAGTAAAACAAAATGAAAACACAAAAGAGATAATGCATGGATTCATAGCATGTCCAAACTAAACTATTTCTCATTAAACCTTCTAGAAATATATTTTTCATCTACCAGTACATTATATGTACTTTTTGTGTAAAAAGGATATTTTATATAATTTTCTGAGCCTTGTTTTTTTTAACATGTTATAGATAGCTTTCTCTATCTGAGCATAGAGAATTTTGTTGTTTTCTAAGGAACTGTATTTCTTTCCACTATACAGACTAATCAAAATTTACTTAATAATTCCCTTAGTGGTGGACATTTAGATTATTTGTTCCTTTTCAAAACAATGCTATGATGAACATTTTATAATATTTTTGTAAATGTATGAAACATAACTGTACTTTGCTTACTTAAATAAATATAACTGTAGAATAAATGCCTAAACTTTGAATTGCTGAGTTTAAAATTATTTAAATTCTAATTTTGGCAAATTTTACCAAATTATTCCATAAGTTTTATATCACATGGAAAAGATCTTTTTATTTGAAAATTGTGAAGAAACTTTTCTATTTCTTTGGCACATTTATGGTTTCTTTTTTATATTTAAATCTCTGAGCCATCTGGAATTTATTTTAGTATAAAGAAAGAAGTTGAGATATAACTTTA
The DNA here is from genome assembly GCF_000001405.40 of Homo sapiens. Taxonomy (NCBI): domain Eukaryota; kingdom Metazoa; phylum Chordata; class Mammalia; order Primates; family Hominidae; genus Homo; species Homo sapiens. The sequence goes on along the minus strand of NC_000003.12, from coordinate 88,515,452 downwards.
TTGGGGTAGCCAGTTGCCCCAGCTAGGACTAAATAAACAATATATTCCCACATTTTCTATCTATTACATCTTTCTCTGGATTTTAGTCTCTCATTTATTATCCTTCTCTCAACACAGAACTTAATATTATAACTTTATGTTGTGTATCTAAATGTGGTTGTTCTAGTTCTCTCTCATAAATATTATTTGTATAGTTTCCCTTATATTTTTCTCATGACTGTTTTTCCTCATGCATATAGCATAATTGTATCACATTTGAGAAAAACTGTGTTAGTATGTGGATCACATTTTATTTGGATCACATTTGATGTGGAGCACATTTTATTTATTGACTACTACACAAATAATTTAAACAAAAAATACTGAATATTTTCAAACAAGAAAAAGATATGCATTACATATTTTCATCTTCTTTTATATCCTGAAACAGTTGTAAAATTTCTTCATCTAAATATTTTAAAGTTCTTGTTAGGTTTATTTCTAGATATTTTATCTTTTAATTATTTTTATAAATAACATTGTTCCATTCTATTTCTAAATGGTTGTTGTATAATAAGAAAGATAGTTTTTATATATTAATTTTGAGAACAACTAACTTACCAAATATTTATAATATCTCATAAATTTTCCAGTCATACAATCATATTATATGTACTAAGAATAATAATTTTACATTTTTCTTCCAATTTTGATATTTATTATATCTTTATTTTGACAATTGACATTGGCAAGAATTTTTAAAACAATGTTAACTAGTAACAGTGGTAGGGAATACTCCAATTATTCATTGTTATATAATAAACCACCTGAAAAGAGTGTATAAAACACCATCATTGGTTTTCCCTCACAGTTGTGTCGGTTTTCTCAGCTTGATGGGAAGTTCTGCTTGTGTTACTTAAGGTTGCTCATGCAGTTGCCCTCAAATTGTAGTTGGAGCTGGAGTTGTCTGGAGACCTGATGGGGATACTATAGCAGTGGGTTTCTCTTGTATCCATGTATTCATAAGCCCTTTCCACTGGCCATATTCTCGCAACATATTCCCTCCTGCAGTGATGTTATACTTCTTACATGGTGGCTCAAAGCTCTCCAAAGTGCAAAAGTAAAAGTGGCCTAGATCCTCTTAAGACTTAAGCCTGCAACTGGCTAAGAATTACTTCTATCACCTTCTATTAGGTAAACAGTCACTGGGTCACCCAGATTCGATTGACGGTAAAATAAACTTGACCACTCAAGGCAGAAGAATATGCTGTCATCTTTAAACCTATTAGTCAGCCTTTTGCCTACAATTATTTATACTCCTGTCCCATGTAAAGTACACTGACCTCCCTCCAGGACCCTGAACAATTTTATCAGATGTTCTAACTTCAAGAAATCATTAAAATGAGATATGAATGTGGCTCAGGCTCCTGAGAAGGAGTTACTCTTGAACTATGATCCTTAGAATTAAGAGGTACATTTTTATCTTCGTGTACCCAGGATGCAGCTTTCTTGTGCATCAGGTATAATATACTCAAGCAGACAAAAGTCACACCTACGTAGCTTTTTCATTTAGGCCCCACTCTCCCTTGAACTGAGAGTTGAAGTACTGTAGAACCACACCACTAGGATTCTTAGAAGCCCTATTTTCTAGCAGACAGAGGCTGATAAGCAGCATCTTATATTTCTTATATTATTCTGAAGTACTAATAGAGCCTTATATCTGCAAGCTCCATATCCGAATTCACAGTTTTTTCTTTCCAGTGCCATAAATTTGATCTTTTCTTGAAATTATTTTTGTTTTATTATTATTATACTTTAAGTTCTGGGATACATGCGCAGAACGTGCAGGTTTGTTACATAGGTATACACATGCCATTGTGGTTTGCTGCAGCCATCAACCCGTCATCTACATTAGGTATTTCTCCTAATGTTATCCCTCCCCTAGCCCCCGACCCCCAGACAGGCCTCACTGTGTGATGTTCCCCTCCCTGTGTCCATGTGCACTTGTTGTTCAAGTCCCACTTATGAGTGACAACATGTGGTGTTTCGTTTTCTGTTCCTGTGTTAGTTTGCTGAGAATGATGTCTAGCTTCATCCATGTCCCTGCAAAGGACATGAACTCATCCTTTTTTATGGCTTCATAGTATTCCATGGCGTATCCATGGAATACTATCATTGATGGGCATTTGGGTTGGTTCCAATCTATCATTGATGGGCATTTGGGTTGGTTCCAAGTCTTTGCTATTGTGAATAGTGCTGCAATAAACATACATGTGTGTGTGTCTTTATAGTATATCCTTTGGGTATATGCGAAGTAATGGGATTGCGGGATCAATTGGTATTTCTGGTTCTAGATCCTTGAGGAATTGCCACACTGTTTTCCACAATGGTTGAACTAATTTATACTCCCATGGTAGTTCTATTTTAAACATTTTGAGGAAACTCCATATTGTTTTCCATAATGACTGTAATAATTTACATTCCCATGATTAGTGTGTAAAATGTTATCTTTTGTCTGCATCCTCACCAGCGCTCATTATTTTTTGTTTTTTAGATAGTAGTCATTCTAACTGGTATGAGGTGATATCTCATTATGGCTTTGATTTGCCTTCCCTAGTGAAATTGAATACTGTTTAATATGCCTGTTGGCTATTTCCAGATTTTTTATTTTGAAAAATATTTATTCAGGTTCTTTGCCCGTTTTTTAATTGGGTTGTTTTTTGCTATCGTTTGGAGTTCCTTATATAGTTTGGATATTGATCTCTTACCAGATACAAGGCTTGCACATATTTTCTCCCATTCCAAAGGTTCCTTTTTTACTCTGCTAATTGCTTCTTTTGCTGTGCAGAATATTTTTATTTGAGGTAGTTCTATTTAATCTACTTTTACTTTCATTTCCCATGATTTTAGTGGTATAGATAAAAACATCATTGCCCAGACAACCGTTAATAAGCTTTTTCCCTGTGCTATCTTCTAGTAGTTTGCTGTTTCGTGTCTCACATTTAAGTCTTAAATCCATTTTAAGTTTATTTTTGTGCACAGTGTGAGATAAGTATCCAATATCATTCTCTTGTGCATAGTGTGAGATAAGTATCCAATATCATTCCAATATCATGTGAATATCCCATTTTCCGTATACTATTTATTGAAGAGATCATTCTTTCCCCACTGTGTGTTCTTGGCACCCTTGTTAAACATCAGTTGACTATAAGTGTGTGGATTTACTTCTTGTTGTGTTTTATCTGAATTTGGTATCAGAGTGATGATGGTGTCAAATGAGTTTGGAAGTGTTTACTCTTCTGTTTATTTTTGTAATAGTTTAAGAAAAAATGATATTAATTATTCTTTGAATGTTTGGTAGAATTCACCAGTGAAGCCATCTGGTACTGGGTTTTTATTTGTTGGAATGTTTTTGGTTACTGATTCAATCTTTGCATTTGCTACTTCATTTTTTGAGACAGAGTCTTGCTCTGTTGCCCAGGCTGGAGTGCAGTGGCACGGTCTCGGCTCACTGCAACCTCCGCCTCCCGGGTTCACGCCATTCTCCTGTCTTAGCCTCCCAAGTAGCTGGGACTACAGGCACCCACCACCACGCCTGGCTAACTTTTTGTATTTAGTGGAGACGGGTTTTCGCCGTGTTAGCCAGGATGGTCTCGATCTCCTGACCTCGTGATCCGCCCGCCTTGACCTCCCAAAGTGCTGGGATTACAGGCGTGAGCCATCGCGTCTGGCCTACCTGACTAATTTTTTATATTTTTTTGGGGAGACAGGGTTTCATCATGTTTCCCAGGCTAGTCTTGAACTCCTACTCTCAAGCAATCTGTCCATGTTGGTCTCCCAAAGTGCTGGGATTACAGGGATGTGCCACCATGCCTGTTAGTCTTGAGAGTTTTAAAAAATTCTTTTTGATTTTCTCTTTGACCCAATGGTTGTTAAAAAATGTATTGTTTAGTTTCCATATATTTGTGAAATTTCCTGTTTACTTATTGTTACTGATTTCTAGTTTCATTCCATTGTGGTTGTAAAAGATACTTGAAATGATTTTGATCTTAAATGTTGTTAAGTCTTGTTTTGTAACCTAGTTATTAATCTATCCTGAAGAATGTTTTCTGTGTTGTTAGAAGAATGCGTATTCTAATGCTTTTGGGTGGAAAGTTCTGTATATGTCTATTTGTTTTATTTGGCCCATAGTTTTGTTCAAGTTAATGGTTTATTGATTTCTGTCTGGATGTTATATACATTATCTAAAGTAAAGTACTGAGTCTCCCACTAGTCGATTTTTCCCTTTGGATCTTGCTTTATATATTTAGGTTCTCTAATGTTAGGTGTGAATATGATTATAATTATTTTATCTCCCTGTTGAATTGACCCTTTTATCATCATATTATGACCTTATTTGTCTCTATAAAGTTTTTGCTTAAATTCTATTTTGTCTGATATAAAAGTAGATACTCTTGATTTCCTTTGATTACCATTTTCATGGGATATCTTTTTCCATCCTTCACTTTCAGTGTGTGTGTGTCCTTAAATATATAGTGAGTCTTCTGAGACAGCATATCACTGCTTATTGCCTTGTTTTGTTTTCTTAATCCTTTCTGCCACTTTATGCCTTTTGATTGGAGAGTTTTATCCATTTATATTTAAAGTAATTATTTCTCACAGCTCTGAAGGCTGGATAGTCCAAGATTAAGGTGCTTGCAAGGTAGGTTCATTTTGAGACATCTTTTGGCTTATAGGCAGGTGTCATCTCTATGTGCTCACATAGCCTTTCCCCTGTGTGTAAATGCATGAAGAGAGAGGGAAATGTCTTTTCCTGTTTCTTCTTACAAACTCACCTACCTTATCAGGTTAGGGTCCCACTTTTATGATCTCATTTAACTGTATTTCCTTATAAATTGCATCCAACTACAGTCATATTGGGAAATTGGGGCTTCAACAAATGAATTTGGAGAAGCGAGAGATTCAGTCCACAGCATATTAAATAATGCACAAAGCTGAAGGTTTGTGCCCTAATATAATAATATAATAAAGAAGACACATCCATATAACTAACAACTTGCCAAAAATTAGAACATTACCAGTTCCTCAGATATCCCTTTGAGCCAATTCTGAAGCTATCCACCATTCCCCCCAAAGGAAACCACCATCTTGATTCTAACACCAAAGATTAGTTTTCTCAATGTTCATATTCTTTCTATCTCGCTTTATTTTTCCTCAATATTATGCTGATTTGATATATTCATAATGTTGCTGAAACAATATGATGTTATTTTAGTGTTGTTTAGTGATCCATCATTAGAAGAAACAAAATCACAAGATATAATTTTGGATTTATCGTGTGGTCAATATTTGCCATTCACTCTTCCCAAGACTGTTGAATTTTAAGATAGTAATCAAGTCTAACTTTACATATTTTATCTCCAGATCTTTGTATTCTGATTGGTCCACAGTTGACACTGGATGAGTATTTGGTGAATGAAGAATCAATTAACTCTCTTTGGGAGATAGGATAGGATAGACGTCTATGGTTTCAATTGTCAGATCCATGTGTATTTCTATGTGCTTTAATCTTCATTTTGCCAAATGAGAAGGAAACTCCAAGAGGAATAGTACAGGGAATAGGGATGCCTTTAAAGCTGTAGAGTTGCTTTCATTTCCCAGTTGGATGTTTGCTTAGGCAATGGCTTATCAGATCAGACTCTGTGCTACGTGAGCAGGAAGGAAAGGAATTAGGCAGGTGGCAGGGATGAGAGAATGGCATGCAGTGGAGCAGTGCACATTCTCATCATGTGCTGTGATCAGCATGTGAGAGTTTCCTTTTATTCAAGGAACACAACCAAAGATACCCAAACATCAGCTCCGGTAACTATACTTCACAATAGAGTACCAGTCAGTGGGTAGAGGAAACCTGGTGAATCTTGCATAACTAGTCAGGTATAAGTTGAATCCCATTTGAGGTGGGCTTCAGGGCTTTCCAGATAACTCAAAAGTGAAACAACCGCCAGCTATTTGATGCTTGACATTCACAGAAGGTACTGATGAACAGGTTAGTGTAGATGCAGCAATACAGTAATGACCAACACTGAAGGTTAAAAAAAAAATGATCCTGCAGCCCTGAGAAGTAGGTTCTTAAAGAAGGGGTGTTCCTGTGAATCAAAGTAATAGCATGATCACTTTGTCTATATTAAAGCAACCATGGGTCACTGCAAACCTGAAATTGAGATTGAAATTAAAATTTCCAATTGGACTACAGTTTTAATAACTATAAGAATGCAAAACATTATAGATGATTCCAGAGGTGATGGTACAGAAAAAAAATATTCAGCAGTTATGGTTAAAAATCAATCACTAGGGGGAGGAGCCAAGATGGCCGAATAGGAACAGCTCCCGTCTACAGCTCCCAGCGTGAGTGACGCAGAAGACGGGTGATTTCTGCATTTCCATCTGAGGTACCGAGTTCATCTCACTAGGGAGTGCCAGACAGTGGGCGAAGGTCAGTGGGTGCACGCACCGTGCGCGAGCCGAAGCAGGGTGAGGCATTGCCTCACTTGGGAAGCTCAAGGGGTCAGGGAGTTCCCTTTCTCAGTCAAAGAAAGGGGTGACAGATGGCACCTGGAAAATCGGGTCACTCCCACCCGAATACTGCGCTTTTCTGATGGGCTTAAAAAACGGCGCACCACAAGATTATATCCCACACCTGGCTCGGAGGGTCCTACGCCCACGGAGTCTCGCTGATTGCTAGCACAGCAGTCTGAGATCAAACTGCAAGGCGGCAGCGAGGCTGGGGGAGGGGCGCCTGCCATTGCCCAGGCTTGCTTAGGTAAACAAAGCAGCCGGGAAGCTCGAACTGGGTGGAGCCCACCACAGCTCAAGGAGGCCTGCCTGCCTCTGTAGGCTCCACCTCTGGGGGCAGGGCACAGACAAACAAAAAGACAGCAGTAACCTCTGCAGACTTAAATGTCCCTGTCTGACAGCTTTGAAGAGAGCAGTGGTTCTCCCAGCACGCAGCTGGAGATCTGAGAACGGGCAGACTGCCTCCTCAAGTGGGTCCCTGACCCCTGACCCCCGAGCAGCCTAACTGGGAGGCACCCCCCAGCAGGGGCACACTGACACCTCACACGGCAGGGTACTCCAACAGACCTGCAGCTGAGGGTCCTCTCTGTTAGAAGGAAAACTAACAAACAAAAAGGACATCCATGCCAAAAACCCATCTGTACATCACCATCATCAAAAACCAAAAGTAGATAAAACCACAAAGATGGGGAAAAAACAGAACAGAAAAATTGGAAACTCTAAAAAGCAGAGCACCTCTCCTCCTCCAAAGGAACGCAGTTCCTCACCAGCAACGGAACAAAGCTGGATGGAGAATGACTTTGATGAGCTGAGAGAAGAAGGCTTCAGACGATCAAATTACTCTGAGCTACGGGAGGACATTCAAACCAAAGGCAAAGAAGTTGAAAACTTTGAAAAAAATTTAGAAGAATGTATAACTAGAATAACCAATACAGAGAAGTGCTTAAAGGAGCTGATGAAGCTGAAAACCAACACTCGAGAACTACGTGAAGAATGCAGAAGCCTCAGGAGCCGACACGATCAATTGGAAGAAAGGGTATCAGCAATGGAAGATGAAATGAATGAAATGAAGTGAGAAGGGAAGTTTAGAGAAAAAATAATAAAAAGAAATGAGCAAAGCCTCCAAGAAATATGGGACTATGTGAAAAGACCAAATCTACGTCTGATTGGTGTACCTGAAACTGATGGGGAGAATGGAACCAAGTTGGAAAACACTCTGCAGGATATTATCCAGGAGAACTTCCCCAATCTAGCAAGGCAGGCCAGTGTTCAGATTCAGGAAATACAGAGAACGCCACAAAGATACTCCTCGAGAAGAGCAACTCCAAGACACATAATTGTCAGATTCACCAAAGTTGAAATGAAGGAAAAAATGTTAAGGGCAGCCAGAGAGAAAGGTCGGGTTACCCTCAAAGGGAAGCCCATCAGACTAACAGCGGATCTCTCGGCAGAAACCCTACAAGCCAGAAGAGAGTGGGGGCCAATATTCGACATTCTTAAAGAAAAGAATTTTCAACCCAGAATTTCATATCCAGACAAACTAAGCTTCATAAGTGAAGGAGAAATAAAATACTTTACAGACAAGCAAATGCTGAGAGATTTTGTCACCACCAGGCCTGCCTTACAAGAGCTCCTGAAGGAAGCACTAAACATGGAAAGGAACAACCAGTACCAGCAGCTGCAAAATCATGCCAAAATGTAAAGACCATCAAGACTAGGAAGAACCTGCATCAACTAACGAGCAAAATAACCAGCTAACATCATAATGACAGGATCAAATTCACACATAACAATATTAAATTTAAATGTAAATGGACTAAATGCTCCAATTAAAAGACACAGACTGGCAAATTGGATAAAGAGTCAAGACCCATCAGTGTGCTGTATTCAGGAAACCCATCTCACATGCAGAGACACACATAGGCTCAAAATAAAAGGATGGAGGAAGATCTACAAAACCAATGGAAAACAAAAAAATGCAGGGGTTGCAATCCTAGTCTCTGATAAAACAGACTTTAAACCAACAAAGATCAAAAGAGACAAAGAAGGCCATTACATAATGGTAAAGGGATCAATTCAGCAAGAAGAGCTAACTATCCTAAATATATATGCACCCAATACAGGAGCACCAAGATTCATAAAGCAAGTCCTTAGAGACCTACAAAGAGACTTAGACTCCCACACATTAATAATGGGAGACTTTAACACCCCACTGTCAACATTAGACAGATCAACGAGACAGAAAGTCAACAAGGATACCCAGGAATTGAACTCAGCTCTGCACCAAGTGGACCTAATAGACATCTACAGAACTCTCCACCCCATGTCAACAGAATATACATCTTTTTCAGCACCACACCACACCTATTCCAAAATTGACCACATACTGGGAAGTAAAGCTCTCCTCAGCAAATGTAAAAGAACAGAAATTATAACAAACTATCTCTCAGACCACAGTGCAATCAAACTAGAACTCAGGATTAAGAATCTCACTCAAAGCCGCTCAACTACATGGAAACTGAACAACCTGCTCCTGAATGACTACTGGGTACATAACGAAATGAAGGCAGAAATAAAGATGTTCTTTGAAACCAACGAGAACAAAGACACAACATACCAGAATCTCTGGGACGCATTCAAAGCAGTGTGTAGAGGAAAATTTATAGCACTAAATGCCCACAAGAGACAGCAGGAAAGATCCAAAATTGACACCCTAACATCACAATTAAAAGAACTAGAAAAGCAAGAGCAAACACATTCAAAAGCTAGCAGAAGGCAAGAAATAACTAAAATCAGAGCAGAACTGAAGGAAATAGAGACACAAAAAGGCTTCAAAAAATTAATGAATCCAGGAGCTGGTTTTTTGAAAAGATCAACAAAATTGATAGACCTCTAGCAAGACTAATAAAGAAAAAAAGAGAGAAGAATCAAATAGACGCAATAAAAAATGATAAAGGGGATATCACCACCGATCCCACAGAAATACAAACTACCATCAGAGAATACTACAAACACCTCTATGCAAATAAACTAGAAAATCTAGAAGAAATGGATAAATTCCTGGACACATACACTCTCCCAAGACTAAACCAGGAAGAAGTTGAATCTCTGAATAGACCAATAACAGGAGCTGAAATTGTGGCAATAATCAATAGCTTACCAACCAAAAAGAGTCCAGGACCAGATGGCTTCACAGCCGAATTCTACCAGAGGTACAAGGAGGAACTGGTACCATTCCTTCTGAAACTATTCCAATCAATAGAAAAAGAGTGAATCCTCCCTAACTCATTTTATGAGGCCAGCATCATTCTGATACCAAAGCCAGGCAGAGACACAACAAAAAAAGAGAATTTTAGACCAATATCCTTGATGAACATTGATGCAAAAATCCTCAATAAAATGCTGGCAAAATGAATCCAGCAGCACATCAAAAAGCTTATCCACCATGATCAACTGGGCTTCATCCCTGGGATGCAAGGCTGGTTCACTATATGCAAATCAGTAAATGTAATCCAGCATATAAACAGAGCCAAAGACAGAAACCACATGATTATCTCAATAGATGCAGAAAAAGCCTTTGACAAAATTCAACAACACTTCATGCTAAAAACTCTCAATAAATTAGGTATTGATGGGACGTATTTCAAAATAATAAGAGCTATCTATGACAAACCCACAGCCATCATACTGAATGGGCAAAAACTGGAAGCATTCCCTTTGAAAACTGGCACAAGACAGGGATGCCCTCTCTCACCACTCCTATTCAACATAGTGTTGGAAGTTCTGGCCAGGGCAATTAGGCAGGAGAAGGAAATAAAGGGTATTCAATTAGGAAAAGAGGAAGTCAAATTGTCCCTGTTTGCAGATGACATGCTTGTATATCTAGAAAACCCCATTGTCTCAGCCCAAAATCTCCTTAAGCTGATAAGCAACTTCAGCAAAGTGTCAGGATACAAAATCAATGTACAAAAATCACAGGCATTCTTATACACCAATAACAGACAAACAGAGAGCCAAATCATGAGTGAACTCCCATTCACAATTGCTTCAAAGAGAATAAAATACCTAGGAATACCACTTACAAGGGATGTGAAGGACCTCTTCAAGGAGAACTACAAACCACTGCTCAAAGAAATAAAAGAGGATACAAACAAATGGAAGAACATTCCATGCTCATGGGTAGGAAGAATCAATATCGTGAAAATGGCCATACTGCCCAAGGTAATTTACAGATTCAATGCCATCCCCATCAAGCTACCAATGACTTTCTTCACAGAATTGGAAAAAACTACTTTAAAGTTCATATGGAACCAAAAAAGAGCCCGCATCGCCAAGTCAATCCTAAGCCAAAACAACAAAGCTGGAGGCATCACACTACCTGACTTCAAACTATACTACAAGGCTACAGTAACCAAAACATCATGGTACTGGTACCAAAACAGAGATATAGATCAATGGAACAGAACAGCCCTCAGAAATAACACCGCATATCTACAACTATCTGATCTTTGACAAAACTGAGAAAAACAAGCAATGGGGAAAGGATTCCCTATTTAATAAATGGTGCTGGGAAAACTGGCTAGCCATATGTAGAAAGCTGAAACTGGATCCCTTTCTTACACCTTATACAAAAATCAATTCAAGATGGATTAAAGACTTAAACGTTAGACCTAAAACCATAAAAACCCTAGAAGAAAACCTAGGCATTACCATTCAGGACATAGGCATGGGCAAGGACTTCATGTCTAAAACACCAAAAGCAATGGCAACAAAAGACAAAATTGACAAATGGGATCTAATTAAACTAAAGAGCTTCTGCACAGCAAAACAAACTACCATCAGAGTGAACAGGCAACCTACAAAATGGGAGAAAACTTTTGCAACCTACTCATCTGACAAAGGGCTAATATCCAGAATCTACAATGAACTCAAACAAATTTACAAGAAAAAAACAAACAACCCCATCAAAAAGTGGGCAAAGGACATGAACAGACACTTCTCAAAAGAAGACATTTATGCAGCCAAAAAACACATGAAAAAATGCTCATCATCACTGGCCATCAGAGAAATGCAAATCAAAACCACAATGAGATACCATCTCACACCAGTTAGAATGGCAATCATTAAAAAGTCAGGAAACAACAGGTGCTGGAGAGGATGTGGAGAAATAGGAACACTTTTACCCTGTTGGTGGGACTGTAAACTAGTTCAACCATTGTGGAAGTCAGTGTGGCGATTCCTCAGGGATCTAGAACTGGAAATACCATTTGACCCAGCCATCCCATTACTGGGTATATACCCAAAGGACTATAAATCATGCTGCTATAAAGACACATGCACATGTATGTTTATCGTGGCATTATTCACAATAGCAAAGACTTGGAACCAACCCAAGTGTCCAACAATGATAGACTGGATTAAGAAAATGTGGCACATATACACCGTGGAATACTATGCAGCCATAAAAAATGATGAGTTCATGTCCTTTGTAGGGACATGGATGAAATTGGAAATCATCATTCTCAGTAAACTATCGCAAGAACAAAAAACCAAACACCGCATATTCTCACTCATAGGTGGGAATTGAACAATGAGATCACATGGACACAGGAAGGGGAATATCACACTCTGGGGACTGTTGTGGGGTGGGGGGAAGGGGGAAGGATAGCATCGGGAGATATACCTAATGCTAGATGACGTGTTAGTGGGTGCAGCGCACCAGCAAGGCACATGTATACATATGTAACTAACCTGCACAATGTGCACATGTACCCTAAAACTTAAAGTATAATAAAAAAATCAATCACTAAAAGGATTTTAATATATTATTTTGAGTTGTAATTTTGCAATAACCATTGTCATGTACTTCTGACTTTTAAAAATACTATCATACATGTATTCCCATTTGATCTTCAAAACAATCCTGTGAAGTTGGTGGGTACATCAGATTAAATAGTAAGTTTAGGGTCAAATGTCATTGGGCCAGTTATTTGGGTTAAGTAGAGTTTTGTGCTGTTGAGGCTAATGTAAGATGTTAAAATCTCTCAGAGAAAATGTGTTTTTGTCTTAGACTACTATCATAGCCTTTGAGATGATGTGAGATATGGCAAGCATGTGAGTGAAAATATTTTATTGTATTGTATTTCTGCAATTCAGAATAAAAATTGTTTGCTTAGTAGCATCTTTATGTCACTGGCAGGAGCTACTTACCTACAAACAGATTATCTAGAAAGTGTATAAGACATAAATCTCAATGAAATCATTCCAGCATACATGTACAAGGTAAGTAACTTGGTTTTAAATTGTTCAGTCTAATGGAGAAAGCACTTGTTTTGCCAAAAAGAAGGTGTGCTTTAAAGAAAATAAGATGTTGTTATTTATAATGTCCACAGTCATTGTAATTAGTTGTTTCTCTAATCAAGACATTTTTAAGAAAGTTAATCTGATTGTTACACTGAAATAGAATGCAGATTGTTAAGAAATGTTTTATTATTTGTGATTCCATTTATTATTTTATCACATGAACCTTACATTTCAAAATAACCTATTCTTACATTTTAAAAATTTTGAATAATTTTTCTCCTTTTCTGTTAATCAAAACACCAAAAATGTACTTTGAAAATGAAGGTCTATAAATCAAAAGTCAGAAATTAGATGTTGGAATTAGTCTATAAAGCCATATTGCTGGAAAAAATACATATATATGTATATATATGTATGTGTGTATATATATATATATATATATATATATATATATATATATATATATATATATATATATATTTATTACTACTTTAAAAAAAGCTAGTGGAGTCCTGTGAGTAAATCCATGGACTTGCAAGCTGGGATCCCATTTGGGGAAATAACAATTTTACCACTTTAATAATGTCGTGGTTTTCTTGATTCAACTTTGGCTGATTCTAAATTTTTATCTCTTCATATTAATTTCATTTTATGGGGAAATAATTTTTTAATGTACAAAAAAATAGAGAATTTTCCATGTGCTAAATTCACAATTTATTAGACTTCAAAAATAATGCCTAAACTTGGCCCAGGCAGGCCAGAGATTGAACTAAAGTTAGAACTCTACAGAGAAAATTAACATGGCTCCTATGCAAAGATAAAAATTCATAAACTATTTTTTTATTTTTTATTGTTTCTGACTCTCTAATTCTGGATTGGAAGTCCTTTCTAGATGTTATCTTAAAAACTGTACTCTCTATACTGTGGCATTTCCCAAACTATACTGTAAGCTTAAGCTTATTTTATTATAACTTTCCTACTATATTTTAAGTTCCATACAAGGACAGACTGTAATCATCTTACTTAACATTGTATTTCCAGCAAATTAGCACAGACTTTGGCACAACCTGAGTTCTTGTTTACACATAAAGAGCTAAATGAATGAAGAAATAAAATAAGAAGTGTCCTAAGACAATAATGGAAAATGTTAAATGAAAATGAATATATTTTAGGAAATATTTTTTAAAATCCTTTTCTTTTATAATCAAATCCTCTCCTCACTACAAACATAAGTAAATATAGAAATTGATTGGGAAACCAAGGGTGAATACATATGACAGAAGGAAGAGTTTGTACCGTAGTGATTTAAATAAAATCTGCAATAGATTTTGGCATGATTATAGACTGGAGACCAGATGTACATGTTGAACTCTGGGTTTCTCATATTTTTCTTATTTAATTAATGTAGCTAAATTATAATGCTCGTTTTAGTGAATACTCAATTATATACTTTAAATATTGTTAATAATTTTGGAATACAATATTAAATTTGAAATTTACTTTGTTTATCCCTTTGAGACAGAATTCTAATATAACAATAGCATTTAAAAAGTAAACATTTTACTAAATGGCAGAAATTTCAAAGTTGACAAGTCGAACTTTAAAAGTCAAATGTAAAAAATATAATTAGATAATGATCAGAATAATAATCAGTTACTTTAATTCAAAATATTTGGTTCATTAATATATATTTACTGATAAAATAAAATGTTAGCTATCCCTAAAATAGAAATAATACAATTACATGAAGAATTTGGCTTTAGGTTAAATATTACGGAGTAATGCATTTTAATTCAATTTTTTTCTTCTAAAACTCATAAGAAACAAGAGAAAACAAAAGTAACAGAGAGAAAAATATGGTTTTCAGTGAAACAGAAATACCTATAACCTCAGATCCTTAACTGAGAATGAATATGTGTCAATTACATATAATTGGGGCCAAATGAGAAAAAGTATTTAGAATCAATTAGATATTAAGATCTTTGGCTAACTTCTGTTTTGTACGTGTGATAGACCTGAAAATTTTCTATATACCATTTCTCCATTCTTCTATATAAATATAGCCTGAAGTGAGCCTGAGTTAGGGTAGAAGGACTTTCTGTTAATTTGATCATACCTCCCTTCTCTCTTTTATAATATGAGCATCTTGGTCCACTGTATGTGATTATGATTCGTTATTTAAACTTACTTATTTTTCACACAACATAGTCTCTACATTCAAACCCATATTTCATCTGGTGCTCAGGGAAACACAAATCTCTTCCAATGCAGCAAGAAAACTTCGCTTCATTGGATTTACTGAGAAATGGTATGCTGGGCTTCAAGTCACACATTGCCCCCCAATTTTTTCACAGTAGATTTCCTATTCCAGATTTTTACCCCATGAAATTATGAATGATGAGATTCTTTTGTAGATAAACTGTTTCCTAATATAATCAAAAGTGGAAGAAAGCCAACATGTACAAAATTATAGTTTGGAATAGGTAAGTTTTTCAAGCTCAGAGAAATTTAAAGAATATTTGCTCAATTTTCTATAAACTTTTTTGGACGTATGTAATTTTCTTGGGAAATAAAAATGAGGAAATCAATACAGGTGAAAAAAATTAAAACCAATAGAGCAATAACTATAGAATAAAACAAGAAAATTTTTTGGAGAGTTTAAACATGTAAAAAATAATAGGCCATCCCAGATGGGTTCACAGATGATCTGCTTTGCAATTCCATGGAATATTAAGAATGAATTTACACTCTTCGAGACCAGAGGACAAAAAAGGAACTCTTCCAAAATATTTTGCACAAAGCTAGAATTATAGTGGTACCCAAACTTGACATGTATAATACACACTCACATATAACTACACAATGGCCTCGTGTTCAATTACTGATGCAGAAATATTTAAAAAATCAAAAAATCCACAATACACTGAAGAAGTTTATTAATTGACCACAACATTTTACTCTAGAAATTCAAGGATGGTTCAGTATAGGAGCATGCATTTATAACTTTACCATAGTCATATATAAAAGGAGAAAAATACAGTGTTATCTTAATAGAAACTAAATGACATTTGTAAAATGTGCAATATCCATTTCTGATAGTAACTCACAACAAGAGGAGAAAAAATAGAATTTCCCATAGCCTGACTTTGAAAAGCCCACAAAACCCTTTAATTCCAAATTTTAAAAAATCCTGCTTAATGCTGAAATATGCAAATTTATACTGAAGTGAAAAATGAGGCAAGGATATACTGTTTGATATAAAATGGCCACAAATTTTGTTTCATTCTGTCATTAAGAGCTAAAGCTCATTTTATTTTTCTTAGTCTTGCTCTGTGACTGTTTATCAGTAGAAGTAGTGGCAGTTTCAAGAGAAACCTTAAAAAAGGCCAGACAGCTTTTGCTTTTGAGGAGCTCTGCCATGTGAGAAATATGACCAGCCTGCTAGAGAGACCACATAAAGAGACCAAGTGGAAAAAGTTGGAACTTTTTTTTGTTTTTGAGACTTGATCTGCCACTGTCACCCAGGTTGGAGTGCATTGGCACAGTCTCAGCTCACTGCAATCTCCGCCACCTGGGTTCAAGCGATTCTCCTGCTTCAGCCTCCCAAGTAGCTGGGATTACAGGTGCGTGCCACCACAGCCAGCTAATTTTTGTATTTTTATGAGTCACGGGGTTTCGCCATGTTGGCGAGGTTGGTCTCGAACTCCTGACCTCAGATGGAATCTTGCTCTGTTGTCCAAGCTCGAGTGCAATGGTGCGATCTCAGCTCACTGCAACCTCTGCCACCTGGGTTCCAGCAATTCTCCTGTCTCAGCCTCCCAAGTAGCTGGGATTACAGGAGCTCACCAGCATGCACGGCTAATTTTTGTATTTTTATTTTTCATTTTTTTTTCCTTTTTTATTTTGAGTTCAGGAGTATGTATGCAGGTTTGTTACATAGGTAAAATTTTTGTATTTTTAGTAAAGACGAGGTTTCTTCTGTTGGCCAGGCTGGTCTGGAACTCCTAACCTCAGGTGGTCTGCCCATCTTGGCCTCCCAAAGTGCTGGGATTACAGGTATGAGCCACCACACCTAGCCAGTAGAAGCTTTGAGACTACATGGAGCAGCCATCTCAGCAACCCACCTGAACCCCCAACTGTTGCCACCTGGGTGCAACTGCAGGAGAGAACCTAGGCAAGACCAGCACATGAACCCCCAGTTGAGCCAATGTGACCAATGTATCTATAAGACATGGAAAAGAATTTTTGTTTTGAGCCTCTATGGGTTGAAGTAGATCGTTATAGAGTAAACAATAGCTGAAAAAGAACTGTTACTTTGAAGTCGTTCCTGTAATACAACACTAACACACGTGGCATTGGCTTTGGGGTCTAGTGGTGAGCAGAAGCCGGAGGATTCCAAGAGGCACGTTAGTACAGATTAGAAGGACAGAGAAACAATTGGTTTCGGAGGCTGGAAAAAGACAACTTGTGCTATGAAGTGCTGGAAAGTTTGGCATCAGGGTTACTGCGGGTTCTGTGAAAATTGTATATATAGTTGATCCTGATTATTCATGGATTCTGTGTTTGTAAGTTTGCCTATTTGGTAAAATATTTGTAATCCCCAAATCAATACTTGTGGCACTGTCATTTGTAGACATGTGCATAGCAGTGAGAAATCTGAGTCACCCAACACTACGGTCCAGCTGAGGCGAACAGGGCAGTTCTCCTTGCGTTTCAGCTCCCTTACTGTCTGTGAATGTTCTTTTTGCAGTCTATTTAGTGCCGCAATTTTTACATTTTTGTGCTTTTTATTGGTGATTTCACTGTCTAAAAAATGACCCCAAAGCATATTGGCGAAATGCTATCTAATGTTCTAAAGTGCTAAAAGGCTGTAATGTGCCTTATGGAGAAAATACATGTTAGATAAGCTTTGTTCAAGTGTGAACATAGGAATGTTGGCTGTGAGGTTTGATGTTAATTAAATCAAAAGTACATATTAACTAAAGTTGCTTTATACAGAAATGCACATTAAACAAGGTCATGCATTAGTCAATTGACAAAAATACTGTAAATAGAGGCTCATGGGAATCTAACCCTGTATTTCCCTTGGGCCAATGATTCAGTATCCACTAATTCAGTGTTCACCAGAAACTTGTAACATTACTACCTCAAATAAGGAGAAATGGCTTACATGTAAATACATACCTGTAGACACTGACAAGGAGATTTCCAGACAGAAGGTTGGTAATGCTAACTGATTTCATGTACACGAGCATAAGAAAGGAAAAAAATAGTACTCAAGTAAAACCTAAAAAAGTATTTCCAACCTGTGGCTTGCAGTTTGGAAAATAAACTCCTTCTTAGTCTCAGATTATCCAGGCATCAAAATACTATTAAAACATAGTTTCTTTGTAGCAGTTGAGAATGGGAATTCACTCATGCTTTGGCTCTCTGTTTGTCTATTATTGATGTATAGGAATGCTTGTGATTTTTGCACATTGATTTTGTATCCTGAGACTTTGCTGAAGTTGCTCATCAGTTTAAGGAATCTGGGGCTGAGACGATGGGGTTTTCAAAATATACAATCATGTCATCTGCAAACAGAGACAATTTGACTTCCTCTCTTCCTATTTGAATACCCTTCATTTCTTCCTCTTGGCTGATTGCCCTGGCCAAAACTTCCAATTTGAAGTTCTGTGTCCTATGTTGAATAGGAGTGGTGAGAGAGGGTATCCTTGTCTTGTGCCGGTTTTTAAAGGGAATGCTTCCAGCTTTTGCCCATTCAGTATGATATTGGCTGTGGGTTTGTCATAAATAGCTCTTATTATTTTGAGATAACGTTCCATCAATACCTAGTTTATTGAGAGTTTTTAGCATGAACAGGTGTCGAATTTTATCAAAGGTCTTTTCTACATCTATTGAGATAATCATGTGGTTTTTGTCATTGGTTCTGTTTATATGATGGGTTATGTTTATTGATTTGCATATGATGAACCAGCCTTGCATCCCAGGGATGAAGCCAACTTCATCATGGTGGAGAAGTTTTTGATGTGCTGCTGGATTCTGTTTGCCAGTGTTTTATTGAGGATTTTCGCTTCGATGTTCATCAGGGATATTGGCCTGAAATTTTCTTTTTTTGTTGTGTCTCTGCCAGGTTTTGGTATCAGGATGATGGCTAGCCTCATAAAATGAGTTAGGGAGGAGTCCCTCTTTTTCTATTGTTTGAAGAGTTTAAGAAGGAATGGTACAAGCTCCTCTTTGTCCGTCTAGTAGATATTGGTTGGGAATCCGTCTGGTCCTGGGCTTTTTTTGGTTGGTAGGCTATTAATTACTGCCTCAATTTCAGAACTTGTTATTGGTCTATTCAGGGAATATAACTTACAAGGGATGTGAAGGACCTCTTCAAAGAGAACTACAAACCACTGCTCAAGGAAAGAAGCGAGGACACAAACAACTGGAAAAACATTCCATGCTCATGGATAGGAAGAATCAATGTCATGAAAAAGGCCATACCACCCAAAGTAGTTTATAGATTCAGTGCTATTCCCATAAAGCTACCACTGATTTTCTTCACGGAATTAGAAAAAAATTACTTTAAATTTCACATGGAACCAAAAAACAGCCCGTATAGCCAAGACAATCCTAAGCAAAAAGAGCAAAGCTGGAGGCATCAGGCTACCTGACTTCAAACTATACTACAAGGCTACAGTAACCAAATCAGCATGGTACTGGTACCAAAAGAGATATACAGACCAATGGAACAGAACAGAGGCCTCAGAAATGACATCACACATCTACAACCATCTGATCTTTGACAAACCTGACAAAAACAAGCAATGGGGAAAGGATTCCCTATTTAATAAATGATGTTAGGAAAACTGGCTAGCCATATGCAGAAAACAAACTGGACCCCTCATTTTATCTTATACAAAAGTAACTCAAGATGGATTAAAGACTTAAATGTAAGACCTAAAACCATAAAAACCATAGAAGAAAACCTAGATAATACCATTCAGAAGATAGGCATGGGCAAAGACTTCATGTCCAAAACACCAAAAGCAGAGGCAACAAAAGCCAAAATTGACAAATGGGATCTAATTAAACTAAAGAGCTTCTGCACAGCAAAAGATACTATCATCACAGTGAACAGGCAACCCACAGAATGGGGAACATTTTTGCAATCTATCCATCTGAAAAACGGTTAATATTCAGAATCTACAAAGAGCTTAAACAAATTTACAAGAAAAAAACAAACAACCCATCAAAAAGTGGGCAAAGGATATGAACAGACAATTCTCAAAAGAAGACATTTATGCAGCCAAAAGACACATGAAAAAATGCTCATCATCACTGGCCATCAGAGAAATGCAAATCAAAACCACAATGAGATACCATCTCACACCAGTTAGAATGGCAATCATTAAAAAGTCAGGAAACAACAGGTGCTGGAGAGGATGTGGAGAAATAGGAATGATTTTACACTGTTGGTGGGAGTGTAAACTAGTTCAACCATTGTGGCGGACAGAGTGGCGATTCCTCAAGGATCTTGAACTAGAAATACCATTTGACTCAGTGATCCCATTACTGCGTATATACCCAAGGATTATAAATCATGCTACTATAAGGACTCATGCTCTCACTCTTAGGTGGGAATTGAACAATGAGAACACTTGGACACAGGAAGGGGAACATCACACACCAGGGCCTGTCCTGGGGTGGGGGGATGGGGGAGGGATAGCATTAGGAGATATGCCTAATGTAAATGACGAG